>NC_000003.12:197027563-197178562 GCF_000001405.40 Homo sapiens | reverse complement strand
AAATACCATCAGTATTTCTCTTTATTCCAGAGTTAATCCCTGTACATTAGACTTTTATATCTAACTTTCTACTCAGTATCTCCACTTCGGTTAAGCATCTGAAAGGTAACATATTAAAAAGAGAATTTCTAGTTTTATTGGTCTCAATCTTCTTTATTCAGTATGCCATTCACTAAGATGCTGAAGACAAAAACCCTTAAAATTATCTTTTATTCCTTTTTTCTTTGCTCCGTATCCAGTCTGATGCCAAATCCTGTTGGCTTTTTATTCAAGATATATTTATGATTTGGCCACTTTTCAACACTTCTGCAACTACTGATTCAATAATATGTTGCCTGAACTACAGCAGTAGACATCTAACTTCTCTCGTTAATATTTTTTGCTTCCTCTAAGGTAGCACCCCTTCACTCCAGACATTACTCTGTCTTCTTACCTGATTCTTTATTATACATTTTTTACTGTCTTTTTACTTGACTGTCAGCTCCATGTGGGTGGGATTTTTCTGTTATGTTTATTGTTGTATCCTCAGTTTCTGTGACAGTGGCTGGCACACTGTAGATAACCAGAAAATATTTGTTGAATGAGTGAAGAGACAGGGACATACGAACTTGTGCTAAGGAGGGCCCAAGCAGGTGTGTTTGTCTGTCTTTTCCCTTAGACTTTCTGTGAAGCGCGCATCACACTTTATTTAGCATTGTAATAGTTCTCTAACTGATGATTCTTACTTGCCCTCTGAGAAGAAATACACACAAGGAAATGAGGTAGGGAGAGAAGAGAATTCAATTTCCTCAAAACTGGGATAACTATATAACTCAGACCAAACTAGGATACTTTAATGAAAAGAGGGAATCATTAATAATTAAAGTGAGACAACAGGCATAAATACAGACTTCCCAAGTAAATAGAGGCATATGGGGTCACTCTGTTATAACCATTTATTTTCTGACTATTCCCACCAGGCAACAGGTCTGAAATTCACACCAAGACATCTCCATCTTGGACCATCCTAGATTGATTGACCTAACCGTGTTATCGGTACATACCACATTCATTTTGTCTCATGTGTAATGATAATTGTGTTTTGATAAAATATTTTTTCTTCATCTCCAAGGAATGGAATTGTTCATATTCATTAGTGTAGTGCTTTTGTACTAAAAAGTAGACTACGTATAGGGTAGGTAGACAATCTTCTTAAACTGCTTTGAAAATACTGACTCTAATTGATAGGTTATTTTCCAGAGAAATTGGTGGAAATAGTCTCCTTTGGTATTGACTCCCCAAACATTCACAGTTTGGATGGAAACGCTGTTGTACTGGCTGTGAGATGCTGACCCTTGGCAGACACATTTGTTTCTTAATTTTCTACTCAAAAGGCTACTAACTTTGCGAAATTAATATGATGACTCAGACTTGGAAATCAATTGTTCCCCCTTTGACACAAAAAATATTGTAGGATCTATTTTATGTTTCTGTTTTTCTGGAAACTTTTACAGTGCACCTACATGTACTGACTCAAAAATTGGTTCTTAAACACTGTTTCAACACATTTTTATCATTTGTACAATAAATAAAAATAAATAAAAAATAATATAAAAAATAAAAATAAAATTTATATCATTTGTTCAATAGGACACTCTAGAAAAGCATAGAGATGAAGATTAAACCAAAAGTAGTTGGTTACAATGGTTATATAAGCTTTTTTAAATTACAAAATTGACCATACGATCCAGCAGTTGTACTCCTTGGTATTTGCCCAAATGAATTGAAAGCTTACATCCACCCAAAAACCTGTACAGAGATGTTTATAACAGCTGTGTTCATAATTGCCAAAACCTAGAAGCAACCAACATATTCCTCAGTGTGTGCATGGATAAAGTGTGGTGCATTCAGACAATGGAATATCACCCAGCACTAAAAGAAATGAGCTATCAAGCCATGAAAAGACATGGAGGAACCTTAAATGAATATTACCAGGTGAAAGAAGCCAACCTGAAAAGGATACACACCCTTGTTTCCAACTAGATGACGTTCTGGAAAAGGCAAAACTATGGAAACAATAAAAAGATCAGTGGTTGCCAGGGGTTAGGTGAGAGGGATAAATAATAGAGCACAGAGGATTTTTAGGACAGTAAAGCCATTCTGTATGATACTATAATGGCGGAAACGTCATTAAACACATGTCAAAACCCATGGAATATCCAGCCCCCACAGTCAACTCTCATGTAAATTATGGACTTTGTGATGTGGCAGTGTGGGCTCATTGATTGTAACAAATGTACATTAGAAATGCAGGGGTGTTGATTATGGATAGTTTATGTGTGTGAGCAGGGGGCATATGGGAACTAAAACTGCTCTAAAAAAATATATAAAGTCTATTAAAAACTATAAAATTGGTGTCTTAATGTAGATTAGATTGGCTTAGCTTGAAGACATTTGAAATTTATGATATAAGGTCTTTATAGTTAGGAAATGTGTTTTATTCTTCTTTGTAGCTTCTGTATAGTGTCTTGATTGTTTAGATGGCGTTTCTGTCAAGGATAGATAGGCAAAAAGAAGTTTCACAGGCTATAATTTATATATTCTAAATATATTCAGAGAAGTTTTAAAGTTAACCTTTAAAATAATGTGTTAATAACAGTGCTGAAAAGTGACTGAACCATGCTTATGGGATCAGGGCAAGTCAGCCTGAGCAACATTTTTCTCCTGTATTTTCAAGTAATGTTTGTTTGCATGAGAATTGTACTTCATACCTCTTATCACGACTCTAATTCAGTAGTCATTTGGATAATGATTTTGTTTAATGTCAGCCACTAAACTGTAAGTTTCACAAGAGCTGATGCTACAGGGTGTGTGGTTTTTTCCCTTGGTATCCCCAGAGCCTCGCATGGAGAATGCACTTGATAAATATTTGTTGAATGAATAAACAGATGTTATACAGGTGTTAATTTTTATTTAATCTGCTGTTGACGAAGTGGAAGTTTGGAACTTCTAAATATTGTTGGATCACTGTAAATTTCCCAAGCCATTTTTATGTAACACTATGGCTTAAAAACTAGCAAGTCTATGTTACCAGATTTTGTAAAGTTGTGAATTTCAGAAGTAATTCAGATCCTTCTGTGAAAAAATTGTGAAGCATTTATACTCTTACATATCTGAAGAACTTAAATTTTTATCATGAAAATTTTACTTAGTATCAGTCTCTTTAAATAAATTTTCTTAAATTATTCCTTGTACTTCCTGGCACTATTATTTAGATAACATTTCCAGCCCTCCATTTTTATAGCAAAGTTTAGAATTTTGATAAAGGTAAAAATAGTTGTTCAGACTATGTAGAGAACAGTAGCCTACAGTTACCACCTTTTAAAGAAAACTTTAAACCAACTGATGTGGTAATTTTAACAGGCGTATGCAAATACAAACCAACTGGCAGTGCCACCTGGGAGCAGTGGAATTTTATAGAAGCCTATACACGCAACTTGCCCCTCCAGGCATTTATTTAAAAGATTTTCCCTCCTCACTTCGTAACAGGAGCACTTCCTATTCATTCTTTTTCCTTTAAGCCCCAATTTGGTAGCATTTCTGAACAGTATTTTCAGTATCTGTGAAATCAAAACTCTGACTTCTTGACTGGAGCAGCTTTGAAATGTGAAGAAGTTACAGCTGTGACAGAGTGGAACCAAATGATTGCTTTACAATTTGTGTTGTTTTGTTGTTCTGAGAAAAAGAATTGGGGATTATAACCTGGTGTTTAATTATTTGTTAATTTTTTTTTAACAGCCACGTTCAAGAGCAATAAACTGGCATTTAAATTAAAACAGATCCCACCCTCATTTATCTGTATATAAATCTGACTAATCTTGGTAGGATGATCTGATGTATCAAAGGGTTATAAATTTGGAAAGAAATCAGTTGGAAAGTATTTTGTAAGATAGAAAGAAAACAAACAAGATGCATATCAATATTAAGAATTAATTGCTTTAGCCAAACTAAGTACCATAGCAGGATTTTGAAGGGAGAACAAAGAAAAGAGAATAAAAATCATATCATTTTAATCACTTTTTTTCCAAACTGGAAGGCTATATTCAGTATAGAGGCAAAATTTTTTCAGTTGTAAGAGCACAGCTTTATTATATAGACTTTTTAATTAAAGATATTTTAAAGAACTGTAGGTGAAACTTGAAATTTCCATATGTATATCTTGTTTCCTTGTTTTTTAAATTGTCGCTTCCATGGTTTTTGGGGAGAGAGAATTGGCTTATTTTTATTGTAGACTAAGAATTGCAACAGAATTAAACCATTTATAGTTAGTAAAAGTTAACTTAGGTGTCTTAAAGCCATTTTCTATTTTCTTCATTGACTTATTTAGCCTTTTCTTTCTCCTTTTTTAAAAGCAGCTAAAGCAGGAGTCAGCAAGCTACAATCTGTAGGCCAAATGTAGCCTGCCACCTGTTTTTGTAAATAAATGTTTTGTTTTGTTTTTGAGACAGAGTCTCACTGTGTCGCCCAGGCTGGAGTGCAGTGGCGCGATCTCAGCCCACTGCAATTTCCACCTCCCGGGTTCAAGTGATTCTTATGCCCCAGCCTCCTAAGTAGCTGGGATTACAGATGTGCACCACCATACCTGACTGACTGGGTTTCGCCATGTTGGCCAGGCTGGTCTTGAACTACTGCCCTCATGTGATCTGCCTGCCTCGGCCTCCCAAAGTGTTGGGATTATTACAGGCATGAGCCACCATGCCTGGCTTGTAAATAAAGTTTTATTGGAACACAGCCATGCCTATTTGTGTATTGTGTATGACTACTTTTGAACTACAATAGCAGTGTTGGATAGTTGCAACAATTACTGCATGGTCCATAACGCTTCTTTTTTTGTCATTTCCAAAAATGTTTGCTAACCCCTGATCTAAGGATTGATGCAGTATGTATTTCTTTTTACAGGTAATATATATTGTCTTTGCAGTAAAATGTAGTGGTAACAATAAAGACAAAATCTCTTTTTGAACTATTTTAAAGAGATAAGTAAAGAGTACTGGGTAAGTGTACCATCTTTAGAGGATGATGACCTGGATTTAAATTTATATTCTGCCATATCGCCTGTGCCACCTTGGGCAAATTACCTCCATGCGGAGTCTGTCTCCTCATCTGTAGAAAATGGGGATGAAAGTGTTATCTTTTTCAAAATTTAATGAGAATTAAATGAGACAATATGTGCAAAGCACTTATTATAATACATTAATTACATCAGTGAGGTCATCATCATCTTTATCAACTACCCTTTTATCCACCACTACCACCGCCACCACCATCATTTTCATTTCAACAAAATATTCTGACCTTTAAATGAGGAATCTAGAGATACGGAGAAGCAACCATGTTTTAGCTAGAGGGTTGGTAACTTTAATAGGGTGCAGCCAGGGAAACAGAAACCACAGCAACTAACAATAAAAATACACTACATGGGATTGGTTAGATGAGTATTGGAGAACTGGAAAGGCAAAATGAGAATGCCAAGGTAAAATCGAGACTAACTTACAGAAGTAGCTACCTGTAGGGGAACAAAGGACCCAAGCTGAAATTAGTGGAACCTCAGAGGAAGGGCACCATGGATTTTAAATATGAGCCCTCAGTAAGAAGTTGTACTTCCTAATGCAGTTTGAATAGAAAAGCGATGAAAATATTTTAAGCAAATATGCTTGACCAAGACATGTTTATTTTCAAATGGGACATTATTAGGCAATTCATTATTGCTAGATAGAGAACAACATGAAACTGGCAATTTTTTACATTTTGAAACTTCTGTTCTAAGGTTATCAAACTGTAAAACATCTTGAACACCTTCTGATTGGTGGTGGCTGCCCAGAAACACAGAAATAACCTTTTAGCAATGTCTACTATGTATATTGCATGAAAGTGGGTAGGGGAAGGAAGACTGTACCTACCCAATCTATTGCCCAAGTCATTTTAGAGTGCTGATTAAGTTGATTTCTTTTGACAGTCGCATGGTTTTATTCATTCAACAAATATATATTAAATACTTCCTGTGTGCACTTTTCTAGGCACTGGGCATATAGGAGTGAACAGAACAGAAATCTGCTCTAAGTAGAAGAAGACAGATAATAAATATAATTATCCAAAATGCAGTCACATGTCAGTTAATGGGAATACGGTGTATATTTATTTTTGTATATAATTATACAGAAGATAAAAAGTATAGTATAATAAATATACAAACCAGTAAAATAGTTGTTAATTATCATTCTGAAGTATTATATACCGTACATAATTATATGTATTATACTTCTGTACAACTGGCAGTGAGGTATATTTGTTTACGCCAGCGTCACCACAAATGTAATACATTATACTGCAGCATTACAATGGCTATGACATCACTAGGCAGTAGAAATTTTTCAGCTCCATTATAATTTTATACATGTGGACCATCATTAACCAAAATGTTGATATGTGACGTATGAGTGTATATGGTATTCTGGAGGAAAAATAAAGGAAAGAAACAATAGAAAATGTGTGTATTTGTGTGGGGGAAATAGAAGAAGGCAACTTGAGAGAGTGATAACAGGGACCTGAATCCTTACAGACTTGTAGAGGGTGAATAATACAAGGCAAATCTGATTACTGGGAAGCATTAAGGGCCCATTTTAGGTTATTAGTCATGAAGTCTGTGGTTTTGCTTATTTCTCTAGCCACATTCTGATAAAAATCAGGTAAAAAAGCACATTATTGCATTTGGTAATTTTATCCCCATTTGTCAATTATGTAACCATATATTGAAGTTTTAGTGTCTGTTTACTTTGAAATGTTTCGTGTTTGGCTCATCCTTTACTAGGACAAGATTGTCATCTGAATGCTGATAGAATACTGTCTTTTCATAATGGAGGGATGAGAAACCTTAACTGAATATTGTGAGTCTCACAGGTAGAGATAGATTCATGAACTAGATGATCTGTCTGTGTGAACTAACACACTTGTACTCATGTTTCTGTAATGGAATTAATTGCTAGATCTGTTTTCCTATTTACCTTGTTTTGTTTTAAATTTAATGATTTTAATACCCTTAGTGATTTGTTTAAAAATGTGTTTAGTTTTATAATTGTTTGCTTGTGAGATAGTTATGACATGGAAGTCATATGAAGCTGGTTCAAATAACATATTGTTGGTTTTTTACTATACCGGCTTATGTGAAAGATACCTGTTTGCAGTGACAGGACCAAAGGACATTTGAATAAAAAAACAGATTTAAACCATAAAAATCAGCTTTTTCTGAAGGTACTGGGCCCCCGTTGAGTACAGTGATTCCTAAGCAGAGTTTTTATAAATCTACTGTGCTATATTTTATCCTTCTATAAACATTCAAAAGGCTTGCAGTTTTTTTTAGTTTCTCTCTTACTTTTAAATAGCTTCTTTGACATTTAATCAGAGAAACATGCCACATTACAGCATAATACATCTTTAAACAAAGAACCAAAGAACTTAGATTAGGAATATTAATTATGCCATACAAAACCAAAATAAGATCCTTACTAACCCACAGTGACACGACAGTTGATACTTTTCCTTGCCATCTAAGATATTGGTACCAAAAGATTTGCTAATTCATATATCTCATTTTCTCTAAAAATATGGAAGTGTGCATACAAAAATTAACTCAAGATAGATTAAAGACTTAAATGTGAAACCCAAAGCTATAAGACAACCTAAGAAGACAACCTAGGCAGTACCATTCTGGATATAGGAACAGGCAAAGGGTTCATCATGAAGACACCATGCAATTGCAACAAAAGCAAACATTGACAAGTGGGATCTAATTAAAGAGCTTCTGCACAGCAAAGGAAGCTGTCAACAGAGTGAACAGATAACCTACAGAATGGAAGAAAATTTTTGCAAACTGTGCATCTGAAAAAGGTCTAATATCCGGCGTCTATAAGGAACTTCAAGAAATTTACAAGAGAAAAACAGTCCTATTAAAAGAGAGTAAAGGACGTAAACAGACACTGTTCAAAAGTGGCCAACAGTCATGAAAAAGAGCTTAGCGTCACTGATCATTAGAGAAATGCAAATCAAAGCCACGAGATACCATCTCACACCATTCAGAATGGCTACTTTAAAAAAAATCAAAACAAGAGATGCTGGCAAGTTTGTGGAGAAAAAGGAACACTTATACACTGTTGATGAGAGTGTAAATTAGTTCAACCATTATGGAAGACAATGTGGTGGTTCCTCAGAGACCTAAAAACAGAAATACAATTCAACCCAGCAATCCTATTACTGGGTGTATACTCAAAGGAATATAAATTGTTCTGTTATAAAGACATGAACGCTTAGGTTCATTGCAGCACTATTCACAGTAGCAAAGACATGCAGTCAACCTAAATGCCCATCAATGGTAGACTGGATAAAGAAAATGTGGCACATACACACCACGGAATACTATGCAACAATAAAAATGAATGAGATCTTGTCCTTTGCAGAAACATGGGTGGAGCTGGAGGGCGTCATCGTTAGCAAACTAATGCAGGAACAAAAAATCAAATACCGCATGTTCTCGCTTATAAGTGGGAGCTAAGTGATGAGAACAGGTGGACGCATAGAGCGGAACAACACACTGGGGCCGGTGTGAGGGGTGGAGAGTACGAGGAGGGAGAAGATCCGGAAAAATAACTAAATGGGTACTATTCTTAATATGTGGGTGATGAAATAATCTGTACAACAAATCCCAGTGACACAAGTTTACCTGTGTAACAAGCTTGCACATGTACCCCTGAACTTAAAATAAAAGTTGAATTAAAAAGATACAGTAGTGAATCTTTGTGTATATTCTTAGGTCAGTTTACCCCCTTCATATAACGTGTTAATGTAAAATATAAGCATTATTAGCTATCAGATAGTATGTTCATTTATCGTCTTTGGAGTTGCATCTTATGCTATGAAAGTCATTTTAATAAATTAGTGAGAAAATGTTTTTAAATATATTTAGATAGCCTTGCAACTCTTTTATACCTGAGTCGAACTCTTGTATAAAAGATCATTTTTAGTGGCTATTGTGAGTGTTAATAGGCCTTCCTCACTCCAGACTTCTCATCAGTCACCAAGATATACCAACTCTACATTCAAAATGTGTCTTGATTTGACTGCTCATATGTCCATTACCACCATTCAGTTTAAGCCACCAATAACCTTTCAGCTGGATTATTACAGTAAACTCCTAATTGTCCCTTCTGTCTCTTCCTGTATTAATCAGGGTTCATATGCACATAATGAAAACCACTTGAGTGCTTTAAGCAGAAAAGGCTTTAATAAAAGTAGTAGGCTCATTCAATATACATTTATTTTTCAATGAATCAAAGTGAGGGAGGGCGGTACATGGTCATAAATGTGGATGTGCAGAACAGATGCAAATGGCTGTATGTAGTGAGTGTTCAGACCACTTTATGAAAATCTGTTTTAAGTGCTGCTTTTATAATTTTAAGATCTTAAATTAGATTTAAAATATAAAGCTATAGAGAAAATTAATCTCTAAAAACAAATCACTTTAAACATTTGTTCAGATAGCCATCCATTTGATACTGGTTTTTAAAAGGTACTTTAAAATATGTACAATATATCCAATTTTGTAGAAATTTACAATTTCCTTGTGACGGTGTTAATATCATAGCCTCTGTTGCCATGGAAACAAGTCTCTGAAGGCAGCCTCAGAGGCTAATGATTCCATGATGTTGCTGTGGATAGAAACAACTGAGACCGTTGCTAGTCACATGGTCAAGATTTTTTTTAAAACAACAACAGAAAAACTTTAGATCTCATCTTATTGAGTGATACAAATGGAGCAAAACAAGGATGATGGCATAACAGTCACTGTCTAATGAAATAGTTATATAAGATTTTTCAAGTTTAAAATGCCATACTGAATTCTGTAATAACCAAAATATAATGGTTACTGTATATTGCTGCTTCATTATTTATGTTAGAATCTTAAGTTTGACATTTTCTAATTTAGAATCTTATACAGCTCCCCGGAGTTTTACCCTGCTCTAAAACCTTTGCCCAAAGCATCCTGTGATCAGATCTGATATCTTTGCTGTTCCTCATCAGTCAGCCTTCATTTGATTATTATTTGTTTAGAGCTGCATTTTTGTTTCAAGTGAACTAAATGAATTACTTTGTTGTTCTGTAATTGTTTGTTACCAGAATTGGTTATCAGTTGTGATTAGGGAATTGTGTGTGTTGATGCGTCGTTGACTTTCTCAGCGGTGTTGGCCTTAAGGAAGAGGCAGGGGCCTATGTTCTTCAAGGAACTTGGTCAGTGCCCTGTAGAGAGGGGGATGGGTTAAGATGCTGTAAACTGGGAATTTTTTTAAATGGTATTCACATCCTCGTCTAAAGAAGGTGATTCTAGAAGAGGCTCAGAGACAGAGGGTTACAAGTGGGATTAAAATGTAACATTAAAGGATTCATGGTTTATCATAAAGGGTTTTGGAGAGCACCTGCCCAGTGGAGAAAATTTTTGTGCTTTGCTTTGAAATTTGACATAAGCATGTACTTTTGTCTTATTTTGGCTATCAAAGTAGATTATTAATCAGCTATTATCCTATTGTTAGGGCTGGAGACTGTTAATAAGAAAACATATTACATTTGTGACATTTTCAAACACTTAAAAAATAAACTTTAGTGTCCTTAAAAGAACCAAACCAAAACAAAAAACAACAGAGGCACAAGGAAGCTTTTAGAGGTGATAGATACGTTTGTTACTTTGATTATGGCAGTGGCTTCATAGATGTATGCCTATGTGCAAACTCATCAAATTCTATACCTTAAATATGTGCAGTTTTTTATATCACTTCTACCTCAGTAAAGTTGTTTTTAAACTAGAATAAAATTGAATTAAAAATAACGTTAGACTTTCATGACTTTGACACTTTTGATGACTGCAGCTAGTTACTTTGTAATGTATCACTCAATTTGGGTTTGTCTGATGTTTAATGATTAGATTCAAGTTATATACCTTTGGTAGAAATATCCTGGAAGTATTGTACTCTCATTACATTTTATCACATGATATATGATTTTGATTTTTCCCGTTACTGGTGGTGTTAACTTTGATCACTTGATTCAGATATTGTCTGCAGATTTCTCCACTGTCATTAATGCTTTGAAAGGAGACACTTTTGTATGAGTATATCCCATTCATCCACTGGAATGGACGTTTCACTTGGCAACAGGAAGTTTTAATATTCATTAATATTTCTTGAATGAATTACTCTATTACTATGATGGCTGCCAAATGATGATTTTATAATTCCATCATTACATTTTTAGTTAGCATTTTGTTGTAAGAAAATGCTCTTATCTTCATTTATTTATTGATGTATTTATTTATATCAGTATGGGCTCCCAGATTCCTATTTTATTCAGTGGATGTTATGCCATTGTTATCATTGAGTTACAGATTGTTCCCAGTCTGGCCAGTGGCAGCCCTTCAAGCCAACTTCTGTGTCCTTTGTCATCCTCTTTGAGTACTTCCCTTATCTTCTGGTACAGCAAGATGTCTACACACATCTTGTGCTTGCTGAGCTCTAGCACTGGAGTCAGCCATTTCTTCAAAGACCCATGGTTTGGTTTTGTTTGGTTTTGTGTTGTGGTTTTTTTCCCCCCGAGACGGAGTTTCGCTCTTATTGCCCAGGCCGGAGTGGAATGGCGTGATCTTGGCTCACTGCAACCTCTGCCTCCTGGGTTCAAAGCGATTCTCTTGGCTCAGCCTCCCAAGTAGCTGAGATTACAGGTGCCCGCCACCATGTCCAGCTAATTTTTTGTATTTTTAGTAGAGACAGAATTTCATCATGTTGGCCAGGCTGGTCTCAAACTCCTGACCTCAGATGATCCGCCCACCTCCGCCTCCCAAAGTGTTGGGATTACAGGCATGAGCCTCCGTGCCCGGCCATGTTGTGTTGTTTTAAATTGCAGAATGAGTATTTAGAAATCAAGATTTGGATGCCAGGTGTATTCGTGCTGTTGAGCTGTTAGCTGCATCCAGGTCCTCATAGTTAGCAGACCTATGCACATATATACACACACATTTATGTCTATATTTATTTTTGTATTTATCTATATATATTGAAAACTGTTTATACCAATACCTCCAATTTTAGTGTAACACCATAGGTCTCATGCTAATTTTCTATCTTTTCATATTTATAACTGCCTTTTCTGACGCAAGGAAACCTGCTGTCAGTATCCTTCATGTATTTATTTATTGGACCAGAATGCCCTGTATATAAGCAATCTCCTGTCATCATTGCTGCCCTAGTTGGACGCCCTTCTCACGCTGCTCAGGCTCCAGAAGATCCCATTTAGTCCACTGACAGCACAAAACCTTATGCCAGACTGCAGCTACTGCCTCATAGATGCTATCTGTCTCACTTGGGTTCCAACCACACACAGGCTGCCGCCACGGCTTTGTCCATGTAGACACCCTCGTCACCATGCTGAGGCTCCAGCACCCTTTGCCAGGCTATTGCCTCCCTTCCACTCCCTGCCTACAGATGCTTTCCTCACCCTGCGTGAGCTTCAGCAACATGCACTTTCCTATTCAGGAGGTCATCTGCACCAAGGTTGTGATGATACTCTACCATATCATCCTCTAGAAGCCTTATATTGTTTACTTCTCTCAATTATGTCAGCAAACCAGCTGAAATTAATCTTATGTATAGTTTAAGGGTAGGAATCAGTATTTGTTTGATTTTTCCATGTGTATATCCACTTGATCCAAGCACAGTTCTTACAAAACCACCACGCTTTTCTTATGCATTCATAAATCAGAAGTCAGAACCTATGGGTTTTCAAACATTCTTAGAAGGCCATGTAAATATTGCAGTGAGTATCAGTTACGATTGTTATTAATTTTGAGCTCATAATGTGGAATTCAGAATTTTTTTTCTCCAGGAACAATATATAAATGGTGATTGGAGTCCCGAGCTAAACCCACGGAGGCTTTATTCGTAGTATACTTTTTTATTGTGTTAAAGTTTACATCAAGTTTACCATTTTAGCCATTTGTTAATGTACAATTCAGTGGCATTAAGTACATTCACAGTGTTGTGCAAGTATCATCACTCTCAATCTTCAGAACTTTTCATCATCCCAGACTGGGAACATTGAAAAGAAAGAGAAAACACAAAATCCAATGCTTTAAAAATCTCTTTCTACAGGAAATAATAAATCCAGGTAACAGGAGTCCAGAGTGTGAAATACATTTTCAGTTTGTTTTCTAGAGAATGACACTTAAAGATCATAATAATTGTTTTTCTGTTAATATTCACAATGGATCTCCCATCCTTCCCCTTGCATTTATATTAATAACGCCACTGTGTATTCCTTGTCAACAACTGGAAAAGTATAATTCAGAATAAAGAAGCAGCGATAGAGAAAGGCACTCATGATCCCACCCCAGAGATTAATTTTTCAGACATTTCTTTCCATTTTTTATGTGTTTCATCTTCCCTTTTTTACTTAATGTTTTGTCATAAGCAATGTCCCATATAATTTATAAACTGTTCGTACTGATAATTTTAAATTTCTGTATGATAATCTCATATAATTTTCTTTTCTTTCTTTCTTTCTTTTTTTGAGATAGTCTTGCTCTGTTGCCCAGGCTGGAGTACAGTGGCGTGATCTCACTGCTCACTGCAACTTCCACCTGCTGGGTTCAAGCAGTTCTCCTGACTCACCCTCCCGAGTAGCTGGGACTACAGGCATGCACCACCGCACCTAGCTAATCTTTGTATTTTTTTTCTTTTTTTTTTTTTTTTAGTAGAGACGGGGTTTTGCCATGTTGACCAGGCTGGTCTCGAACTCCTAAACTCAGGTGATCTGCCTGCCGCGTCCTCCGAAAGTGCTAGGATTACAGGCATGAGCCACCATGCCCAGCCTCAATCTCATAGAGTTTTCATTTTTTACTTAACAATTCTGACACCTTTGGGTATTTCAAATATTCCACGATTTACCAAATAGAAGCAGTGTTCAAAAGACTATCTTAAAACCTTAGAACACCTTATGGGAGTACCTTAAAACATAGGCTTTTAAAATTATTTCCTTAGGGTAGATTTCTAGAATTACTAAGTCAAAGAGTTTAGACTTTTTTTTGAGGAGGGGGAGACAGAGTCTCACTCTGTTGCCCAGGCTGGAGTGCAATGGCGCAATCTAGGCTCACCGCAACCTCCACCTTCCAGGCTCTAGCAATTCTCCTGTCTCAGCCTCCCAAGTAGCTGGGATTACACGCATGGGCCACCACACCCGGCTAATTTTTGTATTTTTTTTTTTTAGTAGAGATGGAGTTTCACCATGTTGGCCAGGCTGGTCTTGAACTCTTGACCTCGCGATCCACCCGCATCGGCCTCCCAAAGTGCTGAGATTACAGGTGTGAACCACTGTGCCTGGCCAAGTTTAGACATTTTTAAAGCTCTAGATATTTACTGCCAAATTACTTTCCCTAAAGTTTGTGTGAATTTGTATATCCAACAGCAGTGTGAGAGGACCAGTTTTCATGCATTTTTAAAAGCTTTTTTGGAATATTTTTTATTGGTAAAATATGTATAACTTACTAGTCTTTTAAGTGGAATCATGCAATATTTATCCTTTTGTGTCTGGCTAATTTCACTTAATGTTTTAAAGGCTCATCCATCTTCTAGCATGATTAAGAATTTTATTCCTAGGGCTGGGTGCAGTGGCTCACACCTGTAATCTCAACACTTTGGAAGGCCAAGGTGGGTGGATCACAAGGTCAGGAGTTCAAGACCAGCCTGGCCAAGATGGTAAAACCCTGTCTCTACTAAAAATACAAAAAAAAAAAAAAAAAAAAAAATAGCTGAGCATGGTGGCAGGTGCCTGTCATCCCAGCTACTTGGGAGGCTGAGGCAGAGAATTGCTTGAACCCGGGAGGCGGACGTTACAGTGAGCTGAGATTGCACCACTGCACTCCAGCCTGGGCAACAGAGCGAGACTCCATCTCAAAAAAAAAAAAAAAATCATACCCATTGTGTGTATATTATCACGTTTTGTGTATCCGTTCATCTCCTGATAGACACGTGGTTTCTTTCCGCCTTTTGACTGTTGTGTGTGATGCTGCATTGAACATTGGCATACAAGTGTCCAAGTCCTTGCTCTCACTTTTGGGAATATGCCTACCCAGTGCATATTTACCTACCCAATTGCTAGATCAGATGCTGATTCTATGGTTGGTTTTTAAGAAACCACTAAAAGTTTCCTCAGAAGCTGTACCATTTTACATTTCCCACCAGCATTGTACCAGAGTTCCAGTTTCTCCACATCCTTGCCACCACTTGTTACTTTGTTTTTTGTTTTGTTTTAATTAGACACTTCCCTTGTAGTGGTGAAGTAATCTCTCATTATAGCTTTTATTTGTATTACCCTAAGGACTAATGATGTCGAGCATCTTTTCGTGTGCTAATTGGCCACTTGTATACCTTCTTTGCAGAAATTATTCAAGCTCTTCACACATTCATTAATTGGGTTGTTTCTCTTTGTGTTGTTGCGTTGTAAGAGTCTTTAAATGTTCTGGATATTAAACCCTTATCAGGTGTATGATTTGCAAATACCTTCTCCCATTGTGTAGGCTGTCTTTTCACTTGCTTGGTAATGCCCTTTGGTGCACAAAAGGTTTTAATTCTGTTAGAGTCTAATTGATTTTTTTCTTTCATCATTTATGATTTCTAAGGTTCCATTACCAAATCCACGGTCACAAAGATTAACCCTATGTTCTCTTGTAAGAGTTTTATGTTTTCAAATCTCATATTTAGGTTGTTAATCAATTTTGAGTTAATTTTTATATATAATGTGAGATGGGGGTCTATAGACCTTCATCTTTTGCATGTGGATATCCAGTTGTCTCAGCACCATTGTTGAAGAGACTCCATACATTGTTAATAAATCTTAATTTGACTAATTTGGTAGGCAGAAAAGATCATTGCCATTTTATTTTGCATTTATGAATGAAGATAAGCCCTTTTTTTAGTCTGGCAATTTGTTCTTCCTGTTTTAAGGCCTGTTAAGGCAGGCTGTCCTCATCTGCTTGATTTTAGTGTTTTTCTTACATATATAAGATATTTTATTTATATAGCAAATGGGTCTTATTACTAAACAACTTTCCTGTGTTCCAGTTTCATCCTTTTAAAAATAACAAGCCAGATAAAACAGTGAACTTTTTAGTTTAATTTATACCAGGTTCTCTCTACGTTGTTTTTTCATTTTTGCCAGATATGTCTGGCATGTAATAGACAATCAATGTTAGTTGAATTAATTACAGGCATGTTGAGGCAAGTTATTACTGTTCTTGATAACAGAAGTTAGTATCACGGATTTGTAAACTCTCTTTGTCTGCCTGATTGGGCTAATAAAATTACTTTTAGTTTTCTGAATGCATAGAGGAAAGTAGTGAGATGTATTCTGAGTGCTAGAAAAAATATTTTGCAGTCTGTCTATGAAGCAAGTGTCTTATCTCCCAGAGAAGGAAGGAATATTGTAAATGATAATCTTTTATTATTATGATTTAAGCATCTAAAGAGTAGGCATTCATTTTATTACAGAATCATTAAAATTATTATGGGGGTATAACTTTCTAAAACAATTTCTAGAGAATATTTTCTCATTTATATTAGTGTAATGTATTAATGTTTTTCCTGTTGCATAGTTATTTCTGAAAACTATAATTTATCTTTATGGCACAGCTTTTTGTTATGTGTTTCCCTTTTATTTTGGTGTTTTTCCTGATTTTTTGTCATTGATGATTTTTAGCCAACAGAAGCTGTTCTTCCCTCTCCTCCCACTGTCCCTGTGATCCCTGTCCTGCCAGTCCCTGCTGAGAATACTGTCATCCTACCCACCATACCACAGGTTTTTATTAGTTTCTTTTTTCTTTATAAAAATTTCATTTGCTTTTAATGTTTCATTTGTGTTCTTTTTTAAAACTGTTTGAGCTGTTTTTTGTAATTTGGTAATTTACTTTGGGCTTCAGTTAGTAGTTTTAGGGACTTAAACATTTGGGATTTAATATAAGTGGAGTCAGGATTTGCCATTTTATTAGGTTGTCTGTGAAATGGGACACAATGAACTTCATAATATTGAACCTTAGATTTGTTTTCATGCCTTTGTACTTAGAAATCTGCTTAAAACAGTTTTTAAACATTTTTACTTTAGAACACTTTATTCTTCTAAAGTTAGTAAAAATCATTGTACTCCTGATCTTGTACCAATGTATCATTTTATTTAACACTTTGTTTCCTGTTATATATTTATCTTCTTTGGAAATATTCATTCTTATGTTATTTGATTAGATAACACACTTCACATTTATTAGGTAAAAATAATAGCCAACATATCTGGGAGTATATGGGAATGCTCTGTGCTATCTTCACAACTTTTCTGTAAATCTGTTGTAAAATTTTACTTTTAAAAAATTATGTGTAACAGTTTAAAAATAATAGCCAAATGTGAGAGAGTCTAATCATTTTTAGTTTTTCAAAGCTTTACTACTTCCAAGGGGTGGCTTGAGACATTAACTGCCCTTCCAACAGTTATCCAAAGTCAAAATAATGGTAGTGGTATTAAAGATAATAATAAAGATCTTTGGTGTGAAAGATCACGATCTCATTTAAAGTGTAAATAAATGAACCCATAGATTTTTTTTTGCCATTATTGATCTGTAGCCTAAAATCTGGGTAAACATATGTTTGCTGTGTAAACAGTTTCAAAATAAGCTCCATTGGGGAAAAAATGATATATCAGCTGTGATTATTCACATCTCAGTGCCCTTCCCCTCTCCTAAAAAGTGAAGTCAGTGGGAACATCCATACAACCAAGGATTCTAGGGGAAATTACAGTGTTACAATGACTTCAGCCTTACTGTAATAAGACTGAATTGTAATCATTATAATAATACTGCTACTATATAATTTTTGATTATGAAAATAATTAAAAATTAAGTCATAAAACCAACAATGAATAGATGAATCCAAATGGATATTCTCTCTATATTGCAGGAAAAAAATTGAATTTATAAATAAAATATAATTCTGAGCAAACAGTTTAAGGGTTATTATGGCATCATAATAATGTAACATCTTTCCAAATATATAGAGTTTATTAGTACAGTTTTTTTTTTTTTTAATAGAATTGAAAGTTTATTTTACTCTTCTCACTTCAGTCAATTTTTTGGTGTTAAAATAGTTTTCTGGAATCCTTTGAGAATTTGTACCAGTCTCTTTATATTCATTTGGGAGCCTGTCTTTTCCTATTCAGAATTCTCTCATTTATTTACTCCAAGCAACCCTAACTTAGCATCCCACTGCATTTGAAAATTGTTGAGATCTTGCATAGTCTTATAAAAATACACGTTTTAAAGTCAGAATGACCTGGGGTTGGAATTCCAGTCCTACCACTTAACCTGTGTAACTGCACACTTCACTTAACCACAGCGCACTTCCATTTACTCATCTGTAACACTGAAGATAGACAGGAGTACTAACTTGAGGCGCTTTACAGTGATGGAGAGGATGCTTAATGCACGTCAGGTACTGGCACATAATCTTAGCCGCCCATATTTTTAGTGTTATCTCATATTTCTCTGAGACAGCAAACTAAGGAACAAGTTTTGTTTTGTTTTTTTAAATGAGGATATTTATTGAGGATACACACAAAAAAGACCTATTTATTCTGCATAGCTTCACTTTAGGTTTTAAATACACTACGGAAGTTCATGAAAGATAGTTTTACCATTTTTGTTGTGTTATGTGAGAAGCCAATGAGTGCACCTCATTTTCCAGAATAAGTGTGTTCCTAATTAGTGAAGTACAATGTGTACATTATAAAATTAAAATAATGGACTAAAATATCCGTCCCCAAGTAAAATTTAAAATACATACTAACATATAACCCAATTTCAACATATTAAGTGAATATGTATTCTTAAAAGATCCACTACTTTACATTTAGATGCGTTAGGATGTATTAGAAATAAAAACAGAAGAAAAGATTTAGAATCTAGTCTGTCTTTGCCACTCAAGCTAGTTACCCTCTCTGAGTTTTATACCCCCTTCATCTATTAAAATGGGGGGTAACGCCAACCTGACTCCTTTAAAATGAGTTTGAGAGTCAGGCAAATTAGAAAGATACATAGATGAAAACTTTTTAAAAAGTATATAGTCTTTCATGATTTGTAGAACACTTTTATACTTTTCAGAGTACTTTCACATTGATCATATTGTTTGTACTTTATGAAAGTCTTCTACAAATCAGAATTATGCTTATTATACAGAGTGGCACAGATAAAGGTAATATTTAATGGCTGCTTAATATTGCAGAAAGAACGTGGAGTTTATAGTCCTACCCGACTCCACCACTTCCTAGCTTCACCTGTTTCTACGTGTGATGGTGTGGAAATTACTCAACTTCTGAGAGCCTCAGTTTCTCCACATAGAAACTGAGTACAGAGTAGGTGACAGTTACTAGTTCTTCTTACTGGGAGTGTAAACACATAATCTCTGTGATACTAGCCTATTAAATCCAGAGGCTTATTTGCACCCTAGAGTAAATACTCTGCTTTAAAACTAGATGTTTTAAACCTTTATTTCTATCAGTTCTGAAAAGCTATCATGTAATTAAAGTATTGTTGAAAATGCTTTAAGAGCTAATTTTTTGTGCATGGTCTTTTTTGATATTTGAATATGTGCTTTGAAGATGAATAGAACATCGTCTCTGTCCTCTAGGGGCCTACTAGGTGTTTGTGCAAGAGACAAGTTTAACAAATAGCTCCCGCATAATGTGAGAGTAATTACCTTAGAGGTATGTCCAGAGCAGAGCATCATACTGCCTCTGGGCTTTTTTTTTTTTTTTTTTTTTTTGAAATGGAGTTTTGCTCTTGTTACCCAGGCTGGAGTGCAATGGCACAATCTCGGCTCACCACAGCCTCCACCTCCCGGGTTCAGGTGATTCTCCTGCCTCAGCCTCCCGAGTAGCTGGGATTACAGGCATGTGCCACCACGCCCGGCTAATTTTTTTTTTTTTTTTTTTTTTTAAGTAGAGACGAGGTTTCTCCATGTTGGTCAGACTGGCCTCAAACTCCCGACTTCAGGTAGTCCGCCTGCCTCGGCCTCCCAAAGTGCTGGGATTACAGGCATGAGCCACTGCATCCAGCCAGTTGTAGAATTTTATATTTCCACCAAAGTGCACAAGGATTCCAATTTCTCCACATCCTCACCAACACTTTTTATTTTCTGTTTTCTTCATAGTAGCCAGGCTAGTGGGTGTGAGGTGACATCTCATTGTAGTTTTGACTTGCATTTGTGACACATCTGTTCATGTGCTTATTGTCCATGTGTGTGTCTTCTTTGGGAAAATGTCTGTATGAGTTCCTTGACCATTTTTTAATTAGGGTGTTTGGTTTTATCGTCGAGTTTTAGGAGTTCCTCTGTGTATTCTGGGTCTCATGTCTTGTCAGAGATTACAGACAAGACATGTCTGTACCTTTGTGTCATATCCAAGAAATCATTGACAATTCCAGTGTCTCGCTTTTAGCCTGTGTTTTCTTCTAACAGTTTTAAGTTTTAGGTTTTACATTTAGATCATGATCCATTGTAGGTTGATAATTGTATATGGCATTTATTTCTGGATTCTGTTTTATTCCCTTCTGTATGTCTGTCTGCATGCCAGTACCAGACTGTTTCTGTTACTGTAACTTTGTAGTAAGTTTTGGAATCAGGAAGTGTTAGCCCGCCACCTTTGTTTTTCTTTTTCATTACCATTTTGGCTTTCAGGGTACCGTGAAATTCTATGTGACTTTTAGGATGGGTTATTCTATTTCTTTGAAAACCCTACTGGGATTTTGATAGGAATTGCATTAAGTCTATAGATTGCTTTGGGTAATATTGACATTTTTGCAATAGTAAGTCTTCCAATCTATGACCACAGATCCCTTCCCATTTATTTATGTCTTCTTAATTTCTTTCATACATGTTTTATAGTTTTCATTGCCCAAGTTTTTTACTTTCTTGATGAAGTTAATTCTTCATTTAGGAGGCTCAGTGTTCTGAAAATTTGTTCTTTTCGATGCTATAATAAACAGAATTGTTTTCTTAATTTCCATTTTAGATTGTTCAGTGTTAGAAGAAATACAACTGATTTTTGTGTATTGACTTTGTATCCTGCTACTTTGCTTAATTGGTTTAATAATTCTAACAGTTTTTGTGTAGAATCTTTAGGGTGTTTTACATATAAGATCATATCATTTGTGAACAAGTAATTTTGCTTCTTCCTTTCTAATTTGGATGTCTTTTATTTCTTTTTCTTGCCTAATTGCTTTGACAACAACTTCAACTATTCAGCTAGTGGTCATGTTGAGTACAAGTGGTGAAAGCAGACATACTTGCCTTCTTCCTTATCTTAGAGGAAAAGCTTTCAGTCTTTCACCACTGAGTATGATGTTCACTGTGTGTGTTTTGTATATGGTTTTTCTTAGGTTGACATAGTTTCCTTCTATTCCCATGTGCACTTGAGAAGAATGTGTGTTCTGTTATTGTTAGAGTTCTGTGTCTCTTTGGTATATTGTGTTTGTTCATCTCCTCTATTTCCTTACTTATCATATGTCTGGTTGTTCTGCCCATTATGGAGAATGTGGTATTGAAGTCTCCAGCTATTATTGTAGAACCATTTCTTTCTTCAATTCTGTCTCATTTTTGCTACTTAACATTTTGATGGTCTGCTATTAGGTGCGTTAATTTTTGTAATTGTTACATTCCTATATTGAACCTTTTATTAATGTATAATACCTTTGTTGTCTCATAACCTTTTTTTTATTTAAAGTCTATTTTGTCTGTTATGAGTACAGCCACTCCTGCTCTCCTTTGGTTACTGTTGCATGAAATACCCCTTTCTGTCCTTCAGTTTCAGCATATTTGTGTCTCTGGATCTACAGTGAGTCTCTTGTGTACAGCTTGTGGTTGGAACATTTTAAAATTTTTATTCTGCCAATTTCTGTCTTTTGATTGAAGAGTTTATTTACATTTAAAGTAATTATTGGTAAGGAAAGACTTACTTTTGTCATTTTGCTATTTGTTTTCTTTATATATATGCCTTGTAGCTTTTTTGTTCCTCATTTCCTGCATTACTGTCTTCTTTGGTCTTTGATTAATTTTTTGTAGTGAAACATTTAACTTTCTTGTTTCCTTTGTGTCTATTCTTTAGTTATATTTTGTGTGGTTACCATGGGGATTACATTTAACATCCTAGACACTTCTAATCTCAATTTGTACAAGCTTAACTGCAATAATATACAAAACCTCTGCCCCTTTAACTGCTCTGTCCCAACCCCTTTCAGTTGTTGATGTCACAGAATTACATCTTCATATATTGTATGCCCAAAAACAGAAACTAGTAATTTTTAATGCGTTCGTTTCTTAAATTATGTAGGAGACAAAATATGAAGTTACAAATCAAAGTTATAATGTTAGCTTTTAAACTAATAATTGATTTTCGTTATTTACCAATATTGACTTTGTTTATTAATATTAGGCTTATTTATTTATTTATTTATAGGCAGGGTCTCATTCTGTAGCCCAGGCTGGAGTGCAGTGGTGCCATCACAGCTCACTGCAGCCTCAACCTCTTGGGCCCAATCGATTCTCCCGCCTCAGTCTCCTGAATAGCCATGACTACAGGCATGTGCCTACCACACCTGGTTAATTTTTGTTGTTGTTGCTGTTTTGTTTTGTTTGTAGAGATGGGGTTTCACCATGTTCCACAGGCTGGTCTTGAACTCCTGGGCTCAAGCCATCTCTGCCTGCCTCGGCCACCTGAAGTGCTGGGATTACAGGTGTGAGCCACCATGCCTGGCTAGGCTAAGTTTTTTTTTTTTTTAAATTTGAAAATGTAATGGTCTCTTCAATCATGTGGAAAACCAAAAGCAGATTTACATAACCATTGTTACAATATTACTAACTAGTGTTTATTATTACCTATGTATTTACCTTTACTGAGATCTTTATTTCTTCATATGACTTTGAGTTGCTGTCTAGTTTTCTTTCATTTCAACCTGAACTGCTACCTTTAGCACATCTTTCAGGGCAGTTCTAGTGATAACAAACTCCCTCAGCTTTTGTTCATCAGAGAACATCTTAATTTCCCCCTTAATTTTGAGGGACTGTCTTGCTGGATATAGGATTCTTAGTTGACAGGTTTGGGTTTTTTTCGTCTTATTTTAGCAGTGAGTATTTCCACCCACTGCCATATGACCTCCAGAGTGTCTGATGTGAAGTCTGCTGATAATCTCATTGAGGATTTGTTGTATGTGACAAGTCACTTCTCTTGTTGCTTTCAAAAATCTCCCTTTGTTTTTGGCCTTTGACAGTTCTAGTATAATGTGTCTCAGTGTGAGTCTGTTGGATTTCATTATTGTTTATTGAGCTTCTTGGATGTTTATATTCATGTGTTTCATGAAATCTGAGAAGTTTTGGCTATTATTCAAATATTTTTTCTACTCTTTTATCTGTCATTTCTCATGCAACTCCCACAATGCATTAGTTGGTCTGCTTGATGATGTCTCACGGGTCCCTTAGGTTCTGTTCACTTTTCTTGAATCTCTTTTATTTCTGTTCTTCAGACTCAGTACTTTCCCTTGTCCTATCTCATGTTCACTACTTTTTTTACCTGCTCAGATATGCTTTTGAATCTCTCCAGTGAATTTTCTGTTATTGTACTTCTCATTTCCTGAATTTTATAATTTTTATTTCTCTTCATTGATATTTCCGTTTCGTTCATACAGCACTTTCTTGCTTTTGTTCACATCTTTTAATTCTTTTTTTTTTCTTGAGACAGAGTCTGGCTCTGTCACCCAGGCTGGAGTGCAGTGGTGCCATCTCGGCTGACTGCAAGCTCCGCCTCCCGGGTTCACGCCATTCTCCTGCCTCAGCCTCCCGAGTAGCTGGGACTACAGGCACCTGCCGCCACGCCCGGCTAATTTTTTGTAGTTTTAGTAGAGACGGGGTTTCACTGTGTTAGCCAGGATGGTCTCGATCTCCTGACCTAGTGATCCACCCACCTCAGTCTCCCAAAGTGCTGGGATTACAGGTGTGAGCCACTGTGCCCGGCCATCTTTTAATTCTTTAATAAAGTCTTTGTCTAGTAGATTTGCTATCAGGTTTTTGTGGGTTTTTTTGGTTTTTTGGTTTTGTTTTGTTTTTTTTGACAGAGTCTTGCTCTGTTGCCCAGGCTAGAGTACAGTGGTGTCATCTCGGCTCATTGCAACCTCCACCTCCTAGGTTCAAGTGATTCTTCTGCCTCAGCCTTCCAAGTAGCTGGGATTATAGGCACCTGCCACCACACCCAGCTAATTTTTTGTATTTTTAGTAGAGACAGGGTTTCAGTATGTTGGCCAGGCTGGTCTCAAACTCCTGACCTTGTGATCTGCCCGCCTCAGCCTCCCAAAGTGCTAGGATTACAGGCGTAAGCCACCACACCCAGCCTTATTTTTTTTTAAGGAACAGTTTATATTGATTTATATTTTTTTTAATAAGCCACTTATTCTTGTTTATTTAAACAGCACACTTGAATTTAATAATTTGGTAACTCTGAAAATCAGATTCTCCTTCTTCTCCAGGGTTTTCTTTTTTTGTTGTTATTGTTTTTCTGATTGTTGTAGGCTATCAAAGATCAGCCTCAGGTGTAAACGTAGGGTCTTCTTAGATATTTTCTGAGCCTATGCCTTCCCCTGGGCATGCACAGTGACTTTCTAATTTCCTCCATACATGTGGTTGGTTTTTAATGTCCTAGTCTTCAATGTCTGGCTCCCAAAAGGGGAAAAAGAAAATTGAATTGGTGTGTAGGAAGGGGAGGCCTCCAGCTCTTTCAATCTCCTGGAAGTCAGTTCAGCCTGGGAGGTTGGGGTGGGGTTTCCAACAATGAGGAGGAGGTGGAACAGCAGTATCCAGGGCCTGTTTGCACCTTTGTGATGAGAAGCAGCATTCAGAGCACAGATCTCCAGTATTTGGAGAATGTAATTTTCTCTGCCCACCGTGGCTTGTGCAGGCGGTACACAGTTGACTGAGGGATAGAGTGTGGGGAGCTGCTGCTGTGCTAAGCCTGCAGGTCACTGAAATTAACTACAGTTCACCTGGAAGTTGCCAGCCTTCAGTAGACTCCAAGTTCCAAAACATCTACATCAGACACATGCTGCCACTAAAATTGTGTTCAAGGTGGAGAAACAGATTTGTGGTGCTTCCTACTCTACCTTCTTTCCAGAATCCACCCCATTTGTTTTTACAATCATTTTAACCTGCAGTGATCACCTCAGTCATAGCATTTAACTTTGAATGCAATGTGTCTCAAATTAGGATCTAAGAAGAATTCTCTGGAGTTTGTGAGTTTTGCATTGGAAAAGCACTTGTAAAGCACTTGTTCATAATTGAGTAGAGGAGAAAGAAACACTAGACAAATAACATAATGAAACTTTGATCAATGCTGAGAAGGAGAAATACAATGCAGATTGTAAAAGTGGATTTTCTAAACTATTTTGACCTATTTTAAAATAATTGGATCTTAGAATGTATTTTAACACGATTTTTAAAAATGTAATATTGCCCTCTGAAACTTTGTAAGGCTGCTTCAGTCTGTTACAGCAGCAATCACTACAAGATCCTTTGTTGATGAAATAGAATGGTAAAATTTGGGTGAGCCATGTGCCCAGCCAATAAACTTGACTTTTTTTTTTTTTTTTTTTTTTTTGAGACAGAGTCTCGCTCTGTTGCCCAGGCTGGAGTGCAGTGGTGCTGTCTCGGCTCACTGCAAGCTCCACCTCCTGGGTTCACACCATTCTCCTGCCTCAGCCTCCCAAGTAGCTGGGACTACAGGCGCCTGCCACGAAGCCCAGCTAATTTTTTTGTATTTTTAGTAGAGACGGGGCCAGGATGGTCTCGATCTCCTGACCTCGTGATCCACCCGCCTTGGCCTCCCAGAGTGCTGGGATTACAGGCGTGAGCCACCGCACCCGGCCTAAACTTGAGTTTTAAAAAGTCCTACCCTGGGTGACAGAGCAAGACTCCATCTCAAAAAAAAAAAAAAAAAAAAAGACTTTGGGATCCTTAACCAAGACAGCGAGTAGTAGAACAGGTAACATGGAAAATCAAACAACTACAACTAAAAGACTTGGAAAGAGTCTACGTGAAATTATTTCAGATGAAGAAAAAGCCCTCATTGCACCTTGGTTCAAGTGACCCTGTAATCTCAGACCTGGTTCTAGGTCTCTCTATACCTCCCTCTACCACTCAGTGACATTTGAGTATAGGTAAATCACAGTTATTATTAAAATTCATTTTCTCCATCTGTGAAAAGATAGCAATACCTGTCTTTACCCAGGGGGACTGTGTGAGGCTCTAGAGAAGTAATATAAAAGAAAATATGTTGCAAATCATAGGAAGCTATAGAAATGCTTATTCTGTTACTAAAATTTATATACCATTGTGTATAGTTCCAACTTGGACAACAGTGAAGCTCTATAATTCACTTAGAGATTGGGGGTAGAGGCAGTAAAAGGGCAAGGATATTCCAGAAGGAGGAACTAAAAAGCCCCTAAATAATTTGACCCAAGCATCGGTAATAAGGCTTAAGAAACATAATTTTGCTCACCCATGTTGGCCAGACTGGTTTTGAACTCCTGGTTTCAAGTGATCCACCAGCCTTGGCCTCCCACAGTGCTAGGATTACAGGCATGAGCCACTGCACTTGGCTGAATGCCAGTATCTTAATAGCAACCCTGACCCAGAGTATTTCACAACTACTTTAGCTATTAACCTCTTTAAAACTGAGTACTTGGCTCAAAGTGATTTTTTGGTTTACTTTTTATTATGCAAAATTTCAGAAATATTCAAATGTAGAAAGAATAGTACAATGAACTCTATGTATACCCATCACCAGCTGCAGCAATCAACTCGTGTACTTCTATTTGATTCATAACCCCTCCTACTCCCAACCTTCCATTGTTTTATTTTGAAGTAAATATAACACCTTATATCATTTCGTTTATATATATTTCAATATTAGCGAGACTTTCTAAATGAATAGAATCAAAAGGTAACTTCTATAAAATGATGATGAGTTGGTACTGATAAACAGCTAACATAATAATTATGGTATAAATTAGATTTTGATAAAAACCAACTTTTTCCACTGCATGTTTGGTAAAAAATCGGCAGAGGGACCAAAAGGCTTTCTTGCCATAGTGTTTTTAAAATGTAATTTCTTTTGTAACTTTAAATATCCTATTCTTTCTTGCCCTTTTCTTCTGTAATTGCTTAAGCAGAATAAAGTGAAGTTGTATTATTAATTTTTTTAGCAACGTAAAATACCAGTTTGAGTAATCTCAATATACCATTGGGAAATAAGTAATTTGAAATATTCATAAAATCTCAAATGTCTGTAAGTTGGGTAGCTTTGCTTAAATAGCAGTTTTATAAGTACAATTTTTATTTGTTGAGTGGACTTTCACCGAATTATTCAAAGGTAGACTATTATTTAATGGTGGGACTAAACATAAAGTATTATATTTAATTTTATTTTTATATATAATGAAGTATTAGCTACTCATTTTTAACTTACTGCTTGATGTAGCCCAAATGCATACTGTTTAATTTTTTAACCATGAAACTAGGTTGTCTTTAAGCATTTTGTCATATCATTTAGCTGTGGTACTGTGCTGAAAATAATGTGTTATTTGAAGTTTGAATATTCCCCTTTATTAAAAGCCTGTACATTTGGAAGAAAATGGTTATTTTGTGTTACAGTGTTACTTTATACAGCTTTTATGTATAATTCCTCAGGTAATTGAAGTAGAACCATTAATGTGTGTAAGCATATCTTCTAAAGTTTGTTTAAAGGATAGTCATCTTTTTTATTCTCTGAAAGTGTTATGTGACTTGGTACTTTCATAACTTTAAATATGCAGAAGAAAGAATTTTGAGGGGAATTACATCAGATTTTTATTATATTTTTCATTTGTTATTGCATTTTATTCTTTAGTTTCATATACATAATAATTTCTAACCTAACCAGAAAACCAAGATTTTTTTTCAATCCAAACTTAACTAGGTGTGTGTTATTCTGCTTATTTTTCTTGCTGTAATAAATCACTGTTAATTCTGTGAGTGGTCTAGAATAACTGGAAAGCAGTCATTGCAGCTGAAAATAATCGGGTTTTTACATTAAGAGTGTGTTTTTAGTTTCTAAAAGTTTACAATTGATTTCTTTCTGTGATGAACTTTTTTTTTTCCTTGTTTAAAAACAGTTCACTGTGGGGAAGAATTTTCTCCTGGGTGATGAAATGATTGAAATCTTTACTGTATCTTTGGGAAGAGAAAACAATGATTTCTAAGCAACCTAGGAAGAGTTATTGGTTACACTAAAGAATATTCATGGGTTTTATGAGAAGGCTATGGTGATCTGTGTAAAACTTAAGAAAATCATGGCTGCTTTAGCAGAAATAGCAATTTATTTCTTAAAAGCAAATCTGTTTTAACTGCTTATACATAATTTTTTCTGTTTGGTGCTGGAGAAAGGATATATTATTTAACATATAAAAAGCTCATATAAGATTATAACTTAAGAAATAGCAAGTCTTTCCTATGCCTCTAACATTGTGAACATGAACATGTAATGTTTTATTTTCTTGTTAACACATTTACAATTTCTTCTTAAAGGCAAATCCTCCCCCAGTACTGGTCAACACAGATAGCTTGGAAACACCAACTTACGTAAGTTCCATTTCCTCCCCACATTGAAGTAATTCTGCCTTTCCTGTTCCGTTTTTTGATACAAATGCGAAGACCATGGCATTGTTTTCTCTAATACATTTCTCTTAAGATGTTCTATCACTATATACTATAGCTGTAATTGCTATAGTAAATTAAGTAGTATGGTCCTCCTTTGGTCATTTTTTTTTCCTTTTGTAAAGCAGAAATTTTGAAATAGAAATTCGTAATTTAATTCAGAAATTATGATGGCTAACTTTCACAAAAGGTTGTCTCTGACCATTGGTTGCTTACACAGTGCCATATATTTAAATCATTTTAGAAGTCTAATTGAATGACTAGATTTTTAGTAACCAGGTTTTTTTTGTGCATTCATATATACGAAAATAATTAGTTATAACTTTGTAATTTTAAATTGATCAGGGACAAAAGTCCACTTGTTGCATAATTTTATTATATGAAAGTTCCAGAATAGATAAATCCATAGTTACTGAAAGTAGATTAGCAGTTGCCAGGTGGTGGGTGTAGGGCAGAATGGGGAGTGACTGCTAATAGGTACAGGGTTTGTTTATGGGGTAATAAGGATGTTCTGGAATTAGAAAGTAATGATGATGGCACAACTCTGTGAATAAACTAGAAACTACTGAATTGCATACTTTAAAAAGGTAGATTTTATGATATGTGAATATCTCAACATAATTTGTTAAGGTAAAAAAGTAGAAAAAGGTGAGTTAATAACATAAATGCAAATTAAAACAATTAATACATCTTAAACATTATGTTATCAAAAGAGCAAAAAGTTTGTCAGTACATTCTGCTGGTGACAGTATGGGGTAAAAATATACTGCTACATTTTTGTTGAAGTTTAAGTGGATAAAACTTTAGAAAATGCCGCAATTTCGTGATAATGATTGAGTCTAAAAACCATTATTTTTATATTTTTTCTTTTGTAACTTTTTGTATTGTATGTAAGAAGCCATTGCATAATCCAACATCACAAAGACTTAGAGTTAAGTTTTCTTCTAAGAGTTTTATGGTTTTGCTTTTAGATTTTGGTCTTTGATTCATTTTGAGTTGATTTTTGTATAATGTGAAGTAGAGGTCCAACTTCATTCTTTTGTATGTGGATAGCATCACTGTTTGTTGAAAAGACTATTCTTTCCGCATTGAATGGTCTTGGCAACCATATAGAAAATCAGTTAACTGTAAATATATGGGTATATTTCTTTAATTCCTTTCAATAATGTTCTTTAGTTTTCTGTGTACAAGTCTTGGAGTTCTTTTGTTAAATTCACTTCTATGTATTCTCTCTCTTTTTTTTTTTTTTTTTTTTTCTTGAGACAGTTTCACTCTGTCACCCAGGCTGGAGTGCATTGGCACAATCTCAGCTCACTGCAACCTCCACCTCCCAGACCCAAGATGATCCTCCCACCTCAGCCTCCCATGTAGTTGGGAACACGGACACGTGCCACCATGACTGGCTATTTTTTTTTTTTTTTTGTATTTTTGGTAGAGATGGGGTTTTACCATGTTGCCTAGGTTGATCTTGAACTCCTGAGCTCAAGTCATCCAGCCCGCCTCAGCCTCCCAAAGTGCTGGGATTTCAGGGGTGAGCCATCATGCCCAGCCAGTATTTTATTCTTACGATGCTGTTATAAATGGAATTGTTTTGTTTATTTTTGGAGTTTTTATTGCTAGCATATGGGAATATAATTGACTTTTAGGTGTTTATCTTTTATCCTACAACCTTGCTGAACTCATTTATTACCTCTGGTAGTTATGTAGTTTGAATTTTCTATATACAAGATCATGTCACTGGCAAATAGAGATAGTTTACCTCTGGATGCCTTTTATTTCTTTTTTTTTTTTAATTTTAAAGGATGGGAAACTTCAGGATTTTATTTTTTGTTTTTTGGATTTTTTTTTTAATTTCAGTAAGTTTTTAGGGAGCGGGTGTTGTTTGGTTACATGAATAAGTTAGTGGTGATTTCTGAGATTTTGGTGCACCCATCATCTGAGCAGTGTATACTGTACCCAGTATGTAGTCTTTTATCCCTCACCCCAGTCCCACGCTTTCCCGAGTCCCCAAATGCCAATGTATCATTCTCATGCCTTTGCATCCTCATAGCTTAGCTCCCACTTATGAGTGAGAACATACTGTGTTTGGTTTTCCATTCCTGAGTTACTTCACTTAGAATAATAATCTCCAGTTCCATTCAGGTTGCTGCAAATGCCATTATTTCATTCCTTTTTATGGCTGAGTAGTATTCCATGGTGTGTGTGTGTGTGTGTGTGTGTGTGTGTGTGTGTGTGCACACCATATATTTTTTATCCACTCATGGAAAAATGGGTATTTGGGCTGGTTCCATATTTTTGCAATTGTGAATTGCGCTGCTATAAACATGCATGTGCAAGTATCTTTTTCATATAATGACTTATTTTCCTCTGTGTAGATACCTAGTAGTAGAATTGCTGGATCAAACGGTAGATCTCCTTTTAGTTCTTTAAGGACTCTCTGTACTGTTTTCCATAGTGGTTGTACTAGTTTACATTCCCATCAACAGTGTAAAAGTGTTCCTTTTCACTGCATCCACGCCAACATCTATTTTTTTTTATTTTTTTATGATGACCATTCTTGCAGGGGTAAGGTAATATCACATTGTGGTTTTGATTTTCATTTTCCCGATAGTGATGTTGAGCACTTTTCCATATGCTTGTCAGCCATTTGCGTATCTTCCTTTGAGAATTTTCTATTCATGTCCTTAGCCCACTTTTGGATGAGATTGTTTTTTTCTTGCTGATTTGTTTGTTTGAGTTCCTTGTAGATTCTGGATATTAGTCCTTTGTCAGAAGTATAGATTGTGAAGATTTTCTCCCACTCTGTAGGTTGCCTGTTAACTCTGCTGATTATTTTGTTGTGCAGAAGCTTCTTAGTTTAATTAAATCCCATCTGCATATCTTTGTTTTTGTTGGATTTGCTTTTGGGTTCTTGGTCATGAAGTCTTTGCCTAAGCCAATGTTTAGAAGGGTTTTCTGATGTTATCTTCTAAAATTTTAATGGTTTCAGGTCTTAGATTTAAGTTTTTGATCCATTTTGAGTTGATGTTTTTATAAGGTGAGAGATGAGGATCCAGTTTCATTTTCTACATGTGGCTAGCCAATTATCCCAGCACCATTTGTCAAATAGGGTGTCCTTTCCCCACTTTATGTTTTTGTTTGCTTTGTCAAAGATCAGGTGGCTGTAAGTATTTGGCTTTATTTCTGGGTTTTCTATTCTGCTTCATTCTGTGTGTCCATTTTTATACCAGTACCATGCTGTTTTGATGACTATGGCCTCATAGTATAGTTTGGAGTCAGGTAATGTGATGCCTCCAGATTTGTTCCTTTTGCTTAGTTTGGCTTTGTCTGTGGAGGCTCTTTTTTGGTTCCATATGAATTTTAGGAATGTTTTCTCTAGTTCTGTGAAGAATGATGGTGGTATTTTGGTGGGAATTGCATTGAATTTGTAGATTGCTTTTGGCAGTATAGTCATTTTCACAGTATTGATTCTACCTGTCCATGAGCTTGGGATGTGTTTTTGTTTGTGTCATCTGTGATTTCTTTCAGCAGTGTTTTGTAGTTTTCTTTGTAGAGGTCTTTCACCTCCTTGGTTAAGTATATTCTTAAGTATTTTATTTTCCTTTAGCTATTGTAAAAAGGGTCGAGTTCTTTTTATTTTATTTTATTTTATTTATTTATTTATTTATTTATTTGAGACAGTGTCTCACTCTGTTTGTTGCCCAGGTTGGAGTACAGTAGCACAATCTCAGCTCACTGCAACCTCCGCCTCCTGGGTTCAAGTGCTTCTCCTGTCTCAGCCCCCACCCTACCCCACCCCTTGGCCCCCGCCCTGAGTAGCTGGGATTAAAGACGTGCACCACCACACCTGGCTAATTTTTGTATTTTTAGTAAAGTACTCAGTGCTACCTAAAAAGCCCCTTTTATGTGCTGCTTAGAAACCTACATCATGAATTGGCATTAAATTAAGCACCAGGAATATTTACTGAGCACCTACCTTGTGAGGAAACTTAAAGGTGAAAAATCTCAGATTCCTTAAGGCAGAAATCATAAGGTCACAGTATCAAAATTTTACGTTAATGCCAAAAGGGCCATATAAGCACACTCATTTGGAAATGTTTTCGAAAATAAAATTTTAGATTATTTAGAAATAAACAAATGAACAAAAATGGAGCTCAGTGCAGCTAGCAGTTGTGGGATTTGGCCTAATCCATATGCCAAGGAAAATTGGTAAATTTTGAGGTTTCTAAAAATAGAATAGAGTAAGCATAAATTGAGCATTCAACTCAAAAATCTTTTTTAGAAAATCAAAGGACTAAAGAACTGTTAAAAACAGAAAGTAATACCATGAAATGTAATAGATTCATCAATAATGTCAAAACTGCTTATTCGATAAAGACTGATAGACTTTTAGCAAGTCTTGAGTAAGAAACAAGATGATGCAAATAACCTTTAGAATAAGAAAGGGGATATTGCTGCAAATAAAAATTTTACTCGTAACAAAGGACTTCCTGTCAAGTAGGTAAGCCTCCCGTACTCTAGATGCACAGACATGATCAACACAGCTCTTGAAGTTACTCCTCCTAAACTGAGATAAAGAGATTTTACGTGTGTGTGTGTGTGTGTGTGTGTGAGAGAGAGAGAGAGAGCAAGCAAGCGAGCTCCTGGTCAACATAGACCCCATCTCTATGAAAAACAAAAGTAAACAGCCAGGCATGGTGGCATGTGCCTGTAGTCTCAGCTACTCAAGAGGCTAAGGCAGGAGGATCACTTGAGTCCAGGAGTTTGAGGCTGCAACGAGCTATGATTATGCCACTGCATTCCAGCCTGGGTAACAGAGTGAAATCCCAACTCTCTCTATATAAATGCCTTTATAACATATAATCTCTAAGAGGAAAATGTCTATAGATGAGAAAGAAGAGGGAACAAAATAGTAATAGGGTTTGAATCTAGGAGAATCACAAGAGTTAAGAACCCAAAAGGGTAGTAGAGATGGGCTTCAAAAGTTCTCAAGGAAGAAACTCCTGGTCCCTATATTAGACCTGAATTAAGGGCTACATTTTATAGTATGGTTAAGAAAGCAAAGTAGCTTATGTAGGTTTTGTTATTTCTCTTGCAGTTATCTATCATTGCATAACAAACTACCCTGAAGCTTAGGGGCTTAAAAGAACAACAGTTCATTTTTTCTCATAATGAATTGGATGGCTCTGCTTTACATGGTGTGGGTTAGGGCACTTGACAAGGTTGGGAGGTCCAAATAGCCTTATTCACGTGGCTGATAGTTGGTGGTGCTGACTGCTGGTTAGGAGTGTAGCTGGGGCTTTTGGCCAAGGGTTTTGGTTCTCTGTTGGTTAGATCTCTCTGTAGGCTGTTTGAGTTTTACTCATGTTATAGCTGCTGGGTTCTAAAGAAAATATATTCCAAGCAAAGGCAAATAATACTATCAGGCATCAGATGACCTAGTCTCAGAAATCACACAGCATCATTTGTGCCACATTTATTTTAGTCAAAGCTAGTCACAGGGCTTGCCTAGATCTAATTGAAGAGGAAAGAGACTCCTTTTGATGGTAGGGTGATTTAGTTATATTGCAAAAGAATGTCTGGAATGGAAGATGTGAGCCATCTTCAGAAGTAGAATTTATCACAGTCCACATTTGATTTAGATAGAGTTTTGCCCAGCCTCATATCACGAGAAATTTTAAAGGAAGGATTCAAACCCATGTTCATCTGATTCCAGGGACTTGTTTCACCAGTGGCCTTTACTGTAGGAGTTAACTTCTTTCAGGAGAGACTAGGAAATAAATTGGAGGGAGATAAATTGTGACCAAGATATCTTGAATGGTGACTGATTTTGACATAAAACATGTAAGTGAAATTTGTGACCGAGGAGGCACAAAATTCCAGATGTCGAAGTGGAAAATTGCAGGATATGTAATGGAAAGAGCAAGTCGTTCACAGAAAGGGTTGGTATGTAAGGCCTATGAAGAGGTGAAGAATGAAGGGAAGTAGTACATTGGGGTCAGTTCATTCGAAGACATGATTACCAACCCATAGAGTTTGGATATTTCTAGGAAGGGAGAGTTGTGAAAGTTTTAGAGGAAGTATGTTATGGGCTTTAAAAAGATCCAGCTGTTGCCAGGCACGGTGGCTCACGCCTGTAATCCCAGCACTTTGGGAGGCCGAGGCGGGTGGATCACGAGGTCAGAAGATCGAGACCATCCTGGCTAACACGGTGAAACCCCATCTCTACTAAAAATACAAAAAATTAGCCGGGCGTGGTGGGCAGGCACCTGTAGTCCCAGCTACTCGGGAGGCTGAGGCAGGAGAATGGTGTGAACCCGGGAGGCGGAGCTTGTAGTGAACCAAGATCACGCCACCACTGCACTCCAGCCTGGGCAACAGAGCGAGACTCCATCTCAAAAAAACAAAACAAAAAAGATCCAGCTGTTTAAAACAGTGATTTGGGCAGTGGGGAATACTAATCTAAGCGATTAGGCAGACTGCATTGACAGTATTCCATTCCAGAGGAGGTTGAACAAGGCCTGAACAAAGGTATTAGAAATGAGAGTGAAGAGGTGATGATTTTCCAAAAAATTAAGGTGTTCAAATCAGAAACAGTTGGTAACTGATTAGATGTGTGGATCAAGACAGAGAAGGATCGGAGGTTGAAACTATTAAAAGCTGAATGTACCTATCCTGGATTTGAAAGTCATGATACCACGAATGTTGTCAACTCATTAATCACATTTGTATTTTTCCATTCCTTGAAAATCTTCCCCAGAATTATTAAAATGAAGCTATTGTGTTTGATTACTGTCGCATTCAACAGGTTTTCATTAATAAATCATACAAAAATTTTGCCTTGCCATTTTGGATTTTACACTCTGAAGTTTCTGAGCTGCTTTTCTTTTCCCCTGTAGGTTAATGGCACAGATGCAGATTATGAATATGAAGAAATCACACTTGAAAGGGTAAAAACTATTATCTTAATCTGTTGTTCTAGAGAACTTTGTAATATACTGCTTTTTCATACAGAATCCAAGGGAGATCTCTCAAAAACAGAACTATATGATATTTTCTAAGTTCCCAGTTCATAAAATTGGCCAAGGTATTTTCAAAACATTTGCCTTTTCTTTAGTAACCTTATTTTTTTAATAAACTTTTTATTTTACAATAGTTTTAGATTTACAAAGAAGTTGTAAAGATAGTCCCAAGAGTTTCCATTTACTCTGGATTCAGCCTCCTCTATTGTTAACATCTTCTATTACTAGAGTACATTTATTTCAACTAAGACACCTGTATTCATACATTATTATTAACTGAAGTCTCTATTTCCTTACTTTTTATGTTATTCTCTCTCAGAGGCCCATCCAGGAAACTACATTACGTTTAGTTATCCTGCCGCCTTAGACCCCTCTAGATTGTGATAGTTTCTCAGATTTTTCTTGCTTTTTAATTTTGTTTATATTGTTTATATGCATATGATAATGAAGTATTGTTCGTATTAAGTAAGTAGTATACTAGTAACATGGTCATTATATCAATTTTCTTTTCTAGCAAAATAACCATACTTCTAACAGACAGAGCTGTATTAAAAACTAATTATGGTATACTTGCCCAATCAGAAAATGACTTGAAGGTGCAATTCAGATGTGCAAATTTTCTTAAGATATGTTTTTCCCTCAAGAATATCTGCACTCACGCCTGTAATCCCAGCACTTTGGGAGGCCGAGGCGGGTGAATCACTTGAGGCCAGAAGTTCAAGACCAGCCTGGCCAACATGGCAAAACTCCGTCTCTACTAAAAATACAAAAATTAGCCAGGTGTGGTAACGCAGACCTGTAATCCCAGCTACTCGAATCAGGAGAATCACTTGAACCCAGGAGTCAGAGGTTGCAGTGAGCCGAGATCGCACTCTAGCCTGGGTGACAGAGTGAGACTCTGTCTAAAAAAAAGAAAAAAGAATATCTGCATTCAGTTTTTATTGTATGTTATAATAGTAATGCCACCTTATCTGGCTAGCATTTTATGGAAATCTAGTGTTTCACACAAGCAGATTTCTTAAGTAACTAAATGTGTGTATACTCAAGACTGAAATCCTAGATAATTAGATTTATTTATATTGGAATAGAATCTGAGAAAAATAAATCTGAGAGAGTCTCTTACATGTATATCTTTATTGCCATCTACTTAAATTCGGATCACTTGCTCAAGTTGGGTGGCTACTGGAGTAATATTCAAGTAAGCACAGTATTAATGTACTGTACATACTTTAATATAGTAGTTTGTGATGTCTCCTAACTTTTTATATTATTGATTTTTTATCTTTTCCCAGGGCCTTTTAAATTCCTTTTGTTTAGTTAGGACTATACATTGTATTTTTCACTGGTTGAAGAACTTGAGTACCTAAGTAATTTGGTAACCTCCCATAATCCACTGGTACTGTTCTTAAGATTCAGGTAATTCATGAAGTTAGATTGAAAAACATTTTTTTATTAAAATAGAATTTTAAGACAAATGGTGGTAGAGTGGGTGTTTACACTGTTTAATACTAACAGTTAAATGATAGGTCCACATATATTTGCTTACTTGAGTTGCCTGAAATTCAGTTAGAACATTCTTCAAGAAATAAACATTTTTTAATACCATTGGTTAAATCAATTATTTTTAAAGGCTTTTTGTAGCAGTCGAACCCTTTCTGTGAAGAACATATTCAGAAATCTTGTTTCTCCAGTTCATAAAACAAGCAAAAAGTAGAGCTGCTTTGGCAAAATTTACTTTGCTGTCAAGAAAATTCACCAATGTTAAGTTCTCAGGTTGGTCTTTCAGTCAGTGTGAAACAATGCCTTTTGCTAATCGGGTATATTGGTTAAACATGTCAGGGACTGATGGCAGCTATCACTTAGCAGCCACAATTTGGTCATTTAAAAATAAGCTGATGTCAAGTTAGCAGAAGAAAAGCACCATCGCCACCCCCTTTTTTAAAGGCTAAAACAGTATATGGGTTTTGCCTACTCAGAAATAACAGCGGGAAGATCACTTCAGCATTTGTCTCTTAGGAGAGATGTGCCCTACCAAACATGGCTGAGGTGCAGTCTAAAAGAAACAGACTTACAGTGACACCTCTGCAGATGGGTGACTAATCCAACGACAAGTTGCACATACTTTTAAAGAAAGAACTGTGGAGTATACTTCAAAAGTCCTTGGTGTATTTTCTTGAACCTCACCTGTTCAGCAGTAATGCCTCTGAAAGGACTTTCCTCCAGAACAAGTCCATTTAATTTAGAATCTTTATATTACTCACCCATATACCTTTATTTGTTGTGTTCCTTATGTTAGTACAGTTTCTGCGTCCTTTAATGACAGGAACCTGTCCATAAAGATAAATCATATTCAGTCTCAATTTTTTTTCTTCTATCCTCAGGGAAATTCAGGGCTTGGTTTCAGCATTGCAGGAGGTACGGACAACCCACACATTGGAGATGACTCAAGTATTTTCATTACCAAAATTATCACAGGGGGAGCAGCCGCCCAAGATGGAAGATTGCGGTATGTTTTGCGCTTTTTATTGTGATGCTGAATCCACTTTGTGTATTTTTCTTGAAGCAGACTGGATAAGGGATAAATACAAATAACAAACACGATCATGATAACTAGCATAGGGTAGATGCTTTAACAACATTCAAGTCAATGAATGAGATAATTATGCTCTAAGCATTGTGTTCCTGTTTTCATTTAGACTCCAGTTTTATCTTAGATATTATAACATTTTGAATAACAAATTTGGTTGATGGTTTAAATCTTTGTGAGCATATTTATAGAAATCATGAGTTTCCCTTTGTGTTTTCAGATACACTCACAGAATATTTTCCATTTCCTCTCTGGCTGGGAAACATGTGTATAAACTTATTTAAGTACACTCACAGAATATTTTCCATTTCCTCTCTGGCTGGGAAACATGTATATAAACTTATTTAAGATACGGAGGATAGAGGATCACACATCCATGTTGAATCCCACACCACAAAGACTATATGCAAACTTTAAATAATATATTTTCTTATTGACTAGATGAAAATAACATTTGTCTCTGTTTAAATTTAGTGTTCCATTTTGGAAGATATATTTTGCAAACTTTGATTTTTTGAGGGTCATAAATTATGTCATTTTTCCTATTTCCTTGTTTGTTGTTCAAATACCCTGAAGTTTTAGGACTAAAGAGTTTATGTAGTCTGTTAAAAACAGCATCTTATTTTAAGGACGTTGATGCCTTACGCAGTTTTTGAATTTCTAAGCTTTATAATTCTCACTGGGTATGACAGGTGGTATATTAATGAAATCAAATAGATATAAAAATTAATCATTTGACCATTCATGTAAATGTAGACATTTACTTCCTGATTCTGTTAGATATAGAAGCTTGTCAGGACCAGTTTTAATATTTTAATTATGTTTTGTTTACCCTCTCTACCCAATTTGAGATGACCATCTTTTTTTCCTGGTGGAATACCATGCAATCAAAGAGACCAGAACTAGGGAAAAGGCTAAGACTAGGAACAAATCAGACTTTTAAAAAACATAACACCATGGCAAATTATAAGTTCTTTACCTACGAAACCTTTGAATTAAGTGACCTAATCTTTATATAAATTTCAAAAAATAACTTAATTGTTTTATGTCTAATATATAGGTTGGAATAGGCACTCAGAAAATTATTTTTACTTTATCTCAGTTTTCACACTATCTCTGTGACCTTAAACTCGTGATGTGAGCCTCAGTTTTCTTATCTTTGAATCACAGCTCTGTCACTTATTATCTGGGTGGCCTTAGGAAAGTTATTTACATTCTTTGTGCCTCAGTTTCTCCATCTGTGAAATAGGGATTAAAATATATATTAAGCTTACAGGTGTCATGAGGGTTAAAATACCAAGAAAGTGCCTGGCATGTGGTTAGTGCTAAATAAATGTTTGCTATTTTTATAAAGTGTGTCTTAATGCCTACACAGAATAAGCATGCAGGAAGTATGCAAATGGTAGCTGTAATTATTATTTAACATTTTTATATAATCTATTATTTTCACTATTTCTTTTGTTCCTTTTGCTGGCCCTTGGGAAATGTTTGTATTTGTTTATATTAGTTTTTGATATACTTTCTTCATTTATGTTTTCTGGAATTACTCCAGAATTATTTATAATTCTCTTTACCTTAAAAAAGAAGTAACAAAAAATTGGTAAAGTGGAAAATTTATATTTAAATTATATTTAATTTTTATTTTTAATATTTAATTGTTTTCTCAGGGTCAATGACTGTATATTACGAGTAAATGAAGTAGATGTTCGTGATGTAACACATAGCAAAGCAGTTGAAGCGTTGAAAGAAGCAGGGTCTATTGTACGCTTGTATGTAAAAAGAAGGAAACCAGTGTCAGAAAAAATAATGGAAATAAAGCTCATTAAAGGTCCTAAAGGTATGTGGTAAGTCAAACTAAGATAAATCTTTAAGAAATCTCTGAGTTAAATATACCTATGAACTTTATCTGTGACATACATTCCAAGTACAGTATTAGTAATATTCTACAGAACTTGAGTGGATTTTAATTTCTCCGTTATTTCTACTGATTTTTGTCTTACGTAGCATTTTAGAATATTTACATTTCTACCAAGATTGCAGCATTTGAAAAGTTCCTTTTTTTGCGGGGTTTTTTTGTTTGTTTTTTTGAGGCAGGGTTTTGCCCTGTCACCCTGGCTGGAGTCCAGTGGTGCAGTCATGGCTTACTGCAGCCTCAGCCTCCTGAGCTCAAGCGATCCTCCCACCTCACCCTCCCAAGTAGCTTGGACTGCATGCACACACCACCACACTGGGCTGATTTTTTTTATTTTTTGTAGAGACGGAGGCCTCCCTGCATTGCCTAGGCTGGTCTCAAACTCCTGGGCTCAAGCAGTTCTCCCACCTCAGCCCCGCAGAGTGCTGGTATTACAAGTGTGAGCCACTGCACCTGGCCCAAAATTCTTACGTTTATTGATGTATGCTTTTATACATTTTACTGCAGTGAGCATATATATAAATTTATAAGTTTTTTATGATTTTTATATTCAATATTTGCTCAGCATGTTTTTAAGAGTTTTTAAAAGTAGGGAACAAAATATCTATTTGTTTTATAAGTGGATATGTCCCTATTTGTATTAAGTATTCTTATATTGAAGACTTCTAGCATTAAAAGAGTGAAATATTTGTGTCCTTGAACACTTTGAAGTTTAGTATTGCTATTAACTTGTGATAATCTACAAAATACTTTAAATGCAGGTACACAGGCTAAGTTAAAAGAAGAAGTGTTTATAATATGTATTATGAGCAGTTACATCTGCAGTAAAGGACTGTTAAGATGTGATTGCTGAATTTTTAAAACATTGATGGCTTGAGGATAAATGGAAATAGTAGTTTCAATATGTGGCTTCATGGAAGAGGGAGGATGTCAACAAATGAAAAAGGAATGGAGAGCTGAGAAATTATCTGATATTGAAGCTATGGGATTTAGGAATTACAGAAATTCCTTACTTAAAATTGTTAATTCATAGAATATTGAAGAAGAACAAAGGTATTCACATTTTTAAAGCCTGTTGGTTCTGCCCACCATCACCAGACAATGTTGTTATTTCTTCTCAATAATTTTGTTCTTGTGAAAATATTAAAAGTGTAGGTAAGCATAATTATGATGGAAACAAAAGTAAAACATAATTTCGCAATGTCACTTTGGAATAACAAGTGCATTTGCGAAAAGATACTAAGAAGGAACATGTGGGATAAAAGGAATCTATTCGTAACTCTAGGAGCAGCTGTATGTCTAAGTGTCCCTTGATTGCAGAACATATACTAGTAGATAACTAAATAGATTCTTTTCTATTTTAAAAAATATTAGTGTGAGGGAATAATTACCTTGTAGTTTTCAACCATTTCTTTCTGGGCTTAAGTTCATATTTATGGATGAGAATCTAGAACTGTTTTCCAAACAGGTCTTGGGTTTAGCATTGCTGGAGGTGTTGGAAATCAGCATATTCCTGGGGATAATAGCATCTATGTAACCAAAATAATTGAAGGAGGTGCAGCACATAAGGATGGCAAACTTCAGATTGGAGATAAACTTTTAGCAGTAAGTATAAGAAATCTATTGTCTTTTAAATCATTTTGTAGTCTGTTTATTTTTCTGATAGATACTGGAATTTCTCCATACCAAAAAGGTCTAAATGATGTTTAAATTAGCAAATACTAGCCTTGCTGTATCAAATCCTAAAAAATGATTCTTGGTAATTCTTTATTTGTCATTTCTCTTTTCTCTGCTAGCTCCTCCTCCCTTTTCCTTTTATTCCTTTGTTGTTGTTGAGGGCTTGTATGCACAGAGTGTTTCATCATAATCCTTAGGTTTATAAAACAATGTCATCATTTGTTTATGCATGACCCTTTTTTATTTTACTTCACTTAATAGTATAATGAAACCTAGTAATTACCCAGCCCAAGAATTAGAACATCAACCATTTTGTGTTTCTTATTCCTTTGCTTCTTAAAAATTGTTTAATCAGGCCGGGTGTGGTGGCTCACACCTGTCTGTAATCTTAGCACTTTGGGAGGCTGAGGTAGGTAGATTGCTTGAGCCCAGGAGTTTAAGACCAGCCTGGGCAGCATGGCAAAACCCTGTCTCTACAAAAAATACAGAAATTAACCAGACCTGGTGATATACACCTATAGTCCCAGCTCCTTGGGAGGCTGAGGTGAGAAGATCACCTGAGCCCAGGAGGTTGAGGTTACAGTGAGCTGTGATTGTCCCACTGCACTGCAGTCTGGGTGACAGAGTGAAAGCCCATCTCAAAAAAAAAAAAAGTTTAATTATATACATATGCCTAAATAATTTTGTTTAGTATTATTTGTTTTGAAGCTTTTTCAAAACACTATTGCACTGTATGAGACTTTCATCTCCAGTATTTTTTTCACTCAATATTGCTTTACTGAGACTTACCCATATCATTGCTTAGAGCTAAAGTTCATTCATTTTATCTCTACATACTATTCCACTGTATGTCTGTACTGCAATTTATTTGTCCAGTCTTCATCAGTGTATTAGTTTGTTTTCACACTGCTATGAAGAATTACCCGAGACTGGGTAATTTATAAAGGAAAGCGGTTTAATTGACTCACCAGACTCAGGAAACTTACAGTCATGGTGGAGGGTGGGGGAAAGCAAACACGCCCTTCTTCACATGCCAGCAGGAGAGAGACGTGCCAGCAGTGGAAATGCCAGATGCTTATAAAACAATCACATCTCATGAGACTCACTCACTATCAAGAGAACATCATGGGGAGCCACCTCCGTGATCTAATCACCTCCTACAAGGTCCCTCCCCCAACACATGGGGATTACAATTCAGGATGACATTTGGGTGGGGACACAGAGCCATACCATATCAATCAATAACTGTCTCAGTCCATGTTCCTTAGGGAAACGGAATCTGAAGAAAAGCTAAAGTGCTAAGGTATTATTTGGCTGTGTGATCTCAAGAAGGCTAGAGTGAGTAAAAATGAGGAGTGAAGCAGAGAATGAACGAGAGCCAATAGAAGGTAGAATGTGTCTGAGCTGGCTGTAATTTTATAAGGTAGCTTGTTGCTTGTCATGTATAACAGTCTTCTAGGCAGACACTGTAAAAACCATCCGGGCATCATAAACCTTACATCCAGCCATCCAGAGAAAAGAAAGAAAGGTTTATCTGCTGGCCCTTTTATTCTCCTGTCTCTTGTCTACCCCCTAGGGGTTATTTGTCCCAAGCTTTTGGATTGTGTTACCCAACTCCCCTGGGCGCAGTTTCTAGGGAAGCCAGCTCCTATACTCCATGGCACAACACTTCACCCAAGCCCAAAAATGGTAGAGTTGCAGTGGTATGACAGGTCAAACATAGGTTTGTGACATGTTATGGCCCTCACTGTGTGGAACACATCAGCCATGCCCAGTCCCAGCCAGAAGAGGCTCAGAAAACTGGGAAGGGCAGGAGACAAGATGAAAGTAGTATAATAGTCAGGACTCTCCACTGAGCAAGCAGCCAAGGCCTAGCAGAATCTGAAAAGGCACATAAACTGGATCTGGCATAGTAGGAAGTTGGTTTTTAAAAATATACTAGCAAGTACTGGTTTTTAAAAATCTATTTTAAGTCTTTTTTTTTTTTTTTTTTTTTTGGTATTATGAATAATTTTCCTGGGAAGAGCTGCTGTGTGTTCTGGTGAACATGTACAAGAATTTTACTTGACTGTCATGGGATTATTGATTATCCTACTAGTAGCATTCTTTTTAAAAACCATCCTGTTGTTTTCCAGGCTGCTTGTAAAAATTTACATCAGCAATATATAAAAGATTCCTTTGTTCTACATCCTGTTTAGTACTGTTTATTGTTGCAAGGAGACTTTTTTTAGTTAATGATGGCGAAAAGGAAAGAGCAGAACTTGAACTATGTTTCTCTAACTTATCCTTTCACAGCTAAGATCACCACTCTTTCCTCAAACTATAACCAGTACCATCTCACCATCACTCATCACTCACACACAAACACAGTCAAGACAGCCTTCTGTTGCACTAGTTTTCTCAGTTTTACTTTTTAATTTCTTGGCTACCATGTTTTCCTTTATGGTTTCTCTAGAACTGGCTTTGGTGGTAGGAGACAGCAACCTGTGCTGATACCATTGTGGCAAGTCTCTCTCTTAAATCAACTTTTAGTGAGGCTTTTGTTCTCTTAATTACACTGGAATCATTCAATTCTCAGTCCTCATCTTAATTGACTTATCTGGCTGGAGTTTGACACACCTTCCTCCTTCTAACACTTTTTCATTTGCCTAATAGTCACCCTTTATCTTGGTATTTCTCTTCTTAGTAGCCACTCTTCATTCTGTCTTTCTGATGTCTGGTGCCTCCTCATATCTGTAACCTCTAAACATTGAAGTAATCCAGAACTCACTCCTTGTCCATTTTCTCCTTTTTACTATTCACTCCCAAGGTCACTGTTTCTTAATGTGTAGAAGACGACTCTGGTAGATGGTCAAATAACTTTTCTCTGGCGTAAAACTTTGGGATCATCATCTTACACATTTCACATTAAATCCCTCAGCAAATTGTGTCAGCTCTTGTGTCAGGTATCTAGTGATATGTGAGAAAACACAGAGATTAATGGCTAAAAAACACCACTCATGTATTTGTTTACAATTCTGCAGATTGGATAGGGCTTGGCAGGAACAACTTGTCTTTGCTGTACTAGGCCACAAAATCCACTGTTAGGTTGGCTGACACATATGGTGGGCAAGTTGGCTCTTAGCTGGGAACTCAGCTGGGACTGTTAGCCAGGTGCTTAATTATCCAGTGGTCTCTTTGCGTGGTTAGGGTGAGTTTCACACAGGATGGTGGCTAGGTTCCAAAAGTAAGCTTTCCAAAGAAGACAAGCACTGGTACATTGTTTTTATCAATCTTCTCTTTCCTTCACAACTACTGTACCTCATTGGCTAAAGCTAGTTACGTGGACAAGCAAAATTCAGTGTAGAAAGAGATTTTTACAAGGGTGTGAATACCAGGATGCATGGCTTATTGTAGGCCACCAAAGAAACAGTATACCACAGCTATTTAATATGTATTTCAGCAGTATACCACAGCTATTTAATGTGTATTTCAGAAGTATACCACAGCTATTTAATGTGTATTTCAGCAGTATACCACAGCTATTTAATGTGTATTTCAGCAGTATACCACAGCTATTTAATGTGTATTTCAGCAGTATACCACAGCTATTTAATGTGTATTTCAGCAGTATACCACAGCTATTTAATGTGTATTTCAGCAGTATGCCACAGCTATTTAATGTGTATTTCAGCAGTATGCCACAGCTATTTAATGTGTATTTCAGCAGTATGCCACAGCTATTTAATGTGTATTTCAGCAGTATGCCACAGCTATTTAATGTGTATTTCAGCAGTATGCCACAGCTATTTAATGTGTATTTCAGCAGTATGCCACAGCTATTTAATGTGTATTTCAGCAGTATGCCACAGCTATTTAATGTGTATTTCAGCAGTATGCCACAGCTATTTAATATGTATTTCAAAATGCAGGCAGTCCTTGCTTTGCATGGTAATGTGGAGCCATAAAAATGACCATGCTGCTGAGACTCTGCAAAGCAATGTTAATCATCAGTGAAGGGAAATTATTATTCTGTGACCTTTACATTTTTTTGTGAAAATATTAAAAACTGCAATAGTCAACTATAAAGGTACAAATTAGGAAAAAGTGAAAAATATATTAAAGTTAATATTGTTAATACATGGTAATTTAAAACGGAAACATTGATAATGTTTTACTTATTTGCAAAAAAAAAAAATGTATCAAAGAGAAGAACAATCCAAACCTAAAGCAAACAGAAGGGTGGAAATAATAAAGATTAGAGCAGAAATTAATGAAATAGGTAATAGAAAAGATGTAAGAAGACAGACAAAACTGAAAGTTGGTCCTTTGAAAAAAAAATCAACAAAATGACAAACCTTCAGACCAGCCAAGAAAAAAGAGAGAAGGCTGAAATTTCTGAAAGCAAGCATGAAAGAGGGAAAACAAGAGACTATTATGAGTAACTATGTGCTAATACCTGAGGTAACTTAGATGAAATTGACAGATTGCTAGAAAGACATAAACTACCACTTCTAATCAGTGTTATAGTTGAGATTCTATCCAGGGCAATAAGAAAAGAAAAAGAAAAAGAAAATCAGATTAGAAAGGAAGAAATAGGCCGGGCGCGGTGGCTCACGCCTGTAATCCCAGCACTTTGGGAGGCCGAGGCGGGCGGATCACGAGGTCAGGAGATCGAGACCATCCCGGCTAAAACGGTGAAACCCCGTCTCTACTAAAAATACAAAAAATTAGCCGGGCGTAGTGGCGGGCGCCTGTAGTCCCAGCTACTTGGGAGGCTGAGGCAGGAGAATGGCGTGAACCCGGGAGGCGGAGCTTGCAGTGAGCTGAGATCCCGCCACTGCACTCCAGCCTGGGCGACAGAGCGAGACTCCGTCTCAAAAAAAAAAAAAAAAAAAAAAAAAAAGAAAGGAAGAAATAAAACTATATTTGCTGATGTCATCATATTGTATATAGACTATCCTAGGAACCTGCTAATAGAACTAATAAATTAGTTTAGTATTGGTTGCAGGATACATCACTACCTAAAAATCAGTTATATTTCTATACAGAAGATAGGTGAATGGCCAAAAAATAATTGAAAAAAAATCAACTTGAGTATTACGAAAGTAGAAATTTAAAACTAATTGATGTATAAATTAAAAGATGCATCATTTTACAGATTTTTTAAATTAGTTGATAATGTTTAATGTTGGCAAAGGTCTAAGTAGATGGGCACTCTCATATTCTGTGGTAGTGAGTATAAATTTACTAAAACCATTTAGGAGAACAATTTAAATATTTGTGCTCAATTGTGTTCTAATAGTTTTCCAATCTAAATATGGGAATATTAACAGATATGATCTTTAATAAATTATGATATAGCCACACAATGGGCTACTGTGCAGCTGTTTTGTTACAATGTAGTAATTCTATTAATTTGTGTCCCAACATGGAACAGTCTCTAAGGTACCTTACATTAAAAATCCTAACATAAAAACAAAAATTTTAGTATGTTTTCATTTCTTTAAAGATAAAAATGTCTAAAACGCATCCACACACATTCCTAAATGCCTAAGAATGAGAGAAAATCAAGACTGGGAGAATAGGAGGTATGGAGACTGGAATCAAGATGGGCTATTCTGTTAACATTCAACGACTTCACATGTCATGATAAACAACTTACTGAGATCATAGACATCAAACATGGGTATTTTCTTTCGGCATACCTTTATTTTCCTTAAACCACTCTCTTATTTTCCCTTTCTTTTCGTGAAATTGTTTCCAAAACTCAGAGAACAAGTGAATATGTCATAAATGTCTTTTGGGACTTTTTTTAGGTGAATAACGTATGTTTAGAAGAAGTTACTCATGAAGAAGCAGTAACTGCCTTAAAGAACACATCTGATTTTGTTTATTTGAAAGTGGCAAAACCCACAAGTATGTATATGAATGATGGCTATGCACCACCTGATATCACCAACTGTAAGTCTGTTAGCATACGTTTGCTTAAATTTATCTTACTTCTTCAGTTGTGATGCCATTAGTGAAATGTTCTCAGTATAATAAAGTTTAAACATTATGCAAATATTTTTAAAGAAACAATTAAGCATGTTAATCTACTCATTTTTTAAAATCTACTTTAAGTCAAAATTTTTATAATTAGAAGGGGGGGATCCTTTTCACCTTTATTATTTTATAGTAGTAGTTACATTTAAAGGATTTTCAAACTTTTATGTAAGTAACAGTCACTAAAGAACATTTGCAAATATTGAAATTGTTTTGTTCTAAGTTTTCCACTTGAGCACAGAAATTTGCTTGAACAAGCCGTTCATTCTATTAACAAGCAAAGTACAGGCATACCTCATTTTATTGGGCTTTGCTTTATTGCACTTCACAGAGACTACATTTATTACAAATTGAAGGTTTATGGCAATCCTGAATTGAGCAAATTTATCAGCACCTTTTTTCTTCAGCAACATGTTCTCACTTCATGTCTCTTAATGTCTCTGTGTCACATTTTGGTAAATCTCGCAATATTTCAAACTTTTTTCATTATTATTATATCTGTTACAGTAATATGTGATCACTAGTCTTTGATGTTACTATTTTAATTGTTTTGGAGTGCCACAACCACACTCATATAAGACAGCAAGCTTAATAGATAAATGTGTGTGTTCTGACTGCTCCTCTGATGACTAGTCATTCCCCTATCTCCCTCGCTCTCCTCGGGCCTCCCTATTCCCCAAGATACAACAATATTGATATTAGGCCAGTTAATAAATCTACAATGACCTCTGAGTGCTCAAGTGAAAAGTTGCATATTTCTCATTATATGTCAAAAAGATTTAACTTAGTGAGGAAGGCATGTTCAATGGCAATAAAGGGAGAAAGCTAGACCTCTTGCTGCAGTTAGCCAAGTTGTGAATGCCAAGGAAAAGTTCTTGAAGAAAATTAAAAGTACTGTTACAGTGAACACACTAATGATAAGAAAGCAAGACAATCTGATTGCTGTTGTGGACAAAGTTTGAAGTGGTCTAGATAGATCAAACCAACCATAAGATTCCTTCAAACCAAAGCCTAATCCAGAACAAGACCCTAACTGTGCTTCAATTCTGAAAAGGCTGAGAGAGGTGAGGAAGCTGTAGAAGAGAAATGTGAGGCTAGCAGGGGTTGGTTCATGAGGTTGAGGGAAAGAAGTCATCTCTATAACATGAAAGTGCAAGGTAAAGCAGCAAGTGCTGCTGTAGGAGCTGCAGCAAGTTATCCAGAAGATCTGGCTATGATACTTAATGGAAGTGGCTACACCAAACAACAATTTTTCAATGTAGATGAAACAGCCTTCTACTGGAAAAAGACACCTTTTAGGACTTTCACAGCTAGAGAGGATAAGTCAGTGCCTGACTTCAAAGCTTCAAAGTACAAGCTGACTTTCTTGTTAGTTGCTAATGCAGCTGGTGATTTTCAGTTGAAGCCAATGCCCATTTACCAGTCCAGAAAATCCAAGGAATTATGCTAAGCCTGTCTGCCTGTTCTGTATAACTGTAATGAAACCTGTGCTCTATAACTGAAGCAACAAAGCCTGAATGACAGCATATCTGTTGACAGCATGGTTTACTGAATATTTTAAGCCAACTATTGAGACCTGCTGCTCAGAAAAAAACAAAAAAAAAACACTCCTTTCAAAATATTAGTGCTCTGAGACAATGCACCTAGCTGCCCAAGAGCTATGATGGCAGTGTGCAGGGAGACTGATGTTGTTTTGATGCTTACTAACTTGTCATCCACTCTGTAGTCCATGGATCAAGGAATAATTTTGACTTTCAAGTCTTACTATTTAAGAAATACATTTTATAAAGCTATAGCTGTCATAGGTAGTGATTCCGCTGATGGATCTGGGCAAAGTAAATTGAAAACCTTCTGCAAAGGATTCACCAGTCTAGATGCCTTTAAGGACATTCATGATTCATGGGAGGAGGTCACAATATCAGCATTAACAGGAGTTTCAAAGATGTTGATTCCAGCCCTCTTGGATGACTTGGAACAGGTCAAAACTTTAGTGGCAGAAGTTACTGCAAATTGGTAGAAATAATAAGAGAACTAGAATTAGAAGTGGAGCCTGAAGATGTGACTGAATTGCTGCAACCTCATGATAAAACTTTAACAACTAAGGAGTTGCTTCTTATAGATAATCAAAGAAAGTGGTTTCTTGAGATGGAATCTAATCCTGGTAGGTGAAGATGATGTGAACATTATCGAAACGGCAACAAAGGATTTTGGGATATTACATAAACTTAGTTGATAAAGCAGCAGTAGGGTTTAAGAGAATTCACTTCAGTTTTGAAAGAAGTTCTACTGTGGGTAAAATGCTAACAAACCAGCATCACATGCTTCAGGGAAATCTTTTGTAAAAGAACGAGTCAGTGGATATGGCCAACTGCATTTTTGTCTTATTTTAAGAAATTAACACAGGCACCCCACCCTTCAGCAACTACCACCCTCAGTATCAAGGCTATCATTATTAAGGCAAGATGCTCCACCAGCAAAAACATTATAACTTGCTGAAGGCTGAGATGATTGCTAGCGGTTTTTTTTTAGCAATAAAGTATTTTTAAATTAAGGCCTGTACATTGTATTTTTAGACATAATGCTATTCCTTACTTAATATAGTGTAAACATAACTTGTACATGCACTGGGAAACCAAAAAATTTATAATGACAGGCTTTATTGCAATATTCGCTTTATTGCTGTGGTATGGAACTGTAATATCTCTGAGGTATGTCTGTAATTCTGAGGTTTCTGGTGCTGCTAGTTCATGGCCTGCACTTTGAGAAACACTGATTTACAATATATCTAAAATTAAAGGGATTTTCTTTGCTCTTAGGTACATGAGGAGAGATACTATTTATCTTTGTACTTTCAGGTTCTAGTGCTTATATTTGTATGCAGTTCAGTTGTGTTGCAGTTGATTAAATTGTTCTTAAAGTACTTACGTATTTTTAGGTTTCTTACTTTATATATATATATATATATATATATATATATATATATATTTTTTTTTTTTTTTTTTTTTTTTTTTTTTTTTTTGGAGACAGAATCTCGCTCTGTTGCCCAGGCTGGAGTGCAGTGGTGCAATCTCAGCTCACTGCAACCTCCGCCTCCCAGGTTCAAGCGATCCTCCTGCCTCAGCCCCCCTAGTAGCAGGGATTACAGGCTTGCGACACCATGACTGGCTAACTTTTGTATTTTTAGTAGAGACGGGGTTTCGCCATGTTGGCCAGGCTGGTCTCAAACTCCTGGCCTCAGGTGATCCACCTGCCTCGGCCTCTCAAAGTGCTGGGATTACAGGCGTGAGCCACCGCACCTGGCCATTTTATATTCAGTTTTTTAAATATATAAGCTGAGAAGAGATTTAAGTATATTTTTTAATGTGTTTGTATTGGTGGAAAAATGAAATCTGTATTTGTTCTTTGCATTGAGTTAATGTTTGAAGAACCCGTAAATAATAAAGATCTTAAACGTACTGGGTATAACCTGCTTTTGAGTGCTCCTTTTTTAAATTGTAGAATTTTAGAAATATTGGTGATTTTTAAAGTAACAGTGCTTCCAATTTTAGAACTGTCAAGATTCATTATATTACTAATCATTATCAGTTAAAAACATGACATTTTGAAATCTACATACTGCCCTCCAGTAATGTATCTTCATTATCTGCTCATTGATTTATTAATTGCTCAAGTATAATTGAATTATTTCCTTAATAGTATTTAACCTGTCTGATGTACAGGGATGGTGTCTTATACTTCTTTTGTGTCAAAGAAAAGAACCTTGCTACTTATTTGAAATTCTTACATATACTTCCTCTAGCACATAAACTTTATATAAAGGCTTTGTGTATTTTTTAAATAATGAGCCATTTTATTCATCAATTCAAGTATCTTATTTTAAATGCTGCCTATCTAATAACCATGTGCACATTGTGACAGTTGTTCCACGAATTGAGTATTAGTGCCCTGATTATGATTATGTTGTTTTTTTTTTTTAAGATGGAGTTTCGCTCTTGTTGCCCAGGCTGGAGTGCAGTGGCGTGATCTCGGATCACCACAACCTCTGCCTCCCAGATTCAAGCCATTCTCTTGCCTCAGTAGCTGGGATTACAGGCATGCGCCACCACGCCCTGCTAATTTTGTATTTTTAGTAGAGACGGGGTTTCTCCATGTTTGGTCAGGCTGGTCTCGAACTCCCGACCTCAGATGATCCACCCACTTCGGCCTCCCAAAGCGCTGGGATTATAGGCATGAGCCACCGAGCCCAGCTGATTATGTTACTTTTTCCCCCATCTGTTATTGAACTAATAAAGCATTATGAAAAAGCTGACATTCACCTTGCAGTTTCAACTTGATCATAATATTTTGCTTCCAGTCCCTTCCCTTCTTAGGCAACTGTAGATGTGGGTTTCGTTGTACACTTCTGCATATGCAATTCATAAACAATCTGTTTGTGTTTTTTGAAAAGCACTTGTGTTTAAATTTTTTTTACATAAGTGAGTTTTACTTGTCAGTTCTTCTGAAGCCTGCACAGTCACCCTGCTGTCAGGCTATTCAGCTTACTCTCTATCCCTGGCTGTGGTGATCTGGTGTTCTCTTCATCAGTCTGGCTGTAGTCACTGAAGACTTTAGTGCGAAGGCCCATTGTCGTTTTGCCACTGTTACTCATGCTGTCATTCCTGGTCATGTCCAAAAACCACACTAATGATTCATCCAACACCCTGACTTTTTGGTTTCTTCATCTCTTTCTGACTATCCTGCCCTCCACTTCAACTCAGTTACTTGCTTCTAAGATAATACTTTAGATTTTGTTATCTATAATTATTAACTTTCATCACCTCTAAAATACCAGTTTGATCATCCCATTGTGTGACTACAACCCTCAGTTCATTCACCTCTATTCTAGCAATTCCATCTCATTTTGACCTTCAGTCATTTGACATTATTATTTTGTTGCCCCTTGTCTCAATTTTTCTATTTGTATTAGCTTAGATTCCATGGTTTCTCATGTTCACTTCATTGCACATCTTCAAGTCCTTTGCCCCCTTCTTCTTCGCAGCAGAATCCCCCAACACTGGTGCAGGCAAACTCTGCTATTTCATTTATGGTTCCTAAAAAGCAGAACCATGGAGAAAAGCACAAAATTCTGCTTTTTACGTATGGCCATAAATCATAGATAGTGCCTTACTCTTGCCTGCAGTCCTACTACATTTCCCTAATTCACTCTCCCACTCTAAAGAATTTTTCTCTCCCCTCAAACCTTCACTTGCCATCTACTATTCATGAATGATGATCTCACTTCATATTTCATATAAGCACCCAGAAGAGAATTTCCTTATTTTTCCACTTTCAGATATACCTATGTAATTATATTTTTACCCCGAAACTCGACTTTCACTTGTGTTTTAATGGGAGTCACTGTCATTGTTCCTGTTGAAAACCAGGTCTTCCATTTGTATACTGAATGTCATTGTTTGTTGTCTGCAGAGAATCTTGTTCTTGCAGCTGTCCCTTCTCTCTCTTGCATAATCAAATCCTCTGTCTACTGGATCATTACCATCAGCACACGAACATGTTTACATACTCCTTATCTGAAGGAAATAGGAGGGATCGTCCTACAGTCTTAAGATACCTCTCTAACACTGCTCCTTTTCTCTGCTTAATATCACCGAGAGCTGATTTTCCTACCATGTTAAGACTTCTTCACATCAAAAAGGAAAAAAGCCAGGCACAATGGTGCGTGCCTGTGGTCCCAATTATTTGGCAGGCTGAGGCAGGAGGGTTGTTTGAACCCAGGAGTTTGGGGGTTATAGTGCACTATTATTGCACCTGTGTCTGGCCACTGCACTCCAGCCTGGGCAACATAATGAGACCCATCTCTTAAAAAAGAGACCAGGCACGGTGGCTCACGCCTGTAATCCCAGCACTTTGTGAGGCCGAGGCGGGCGGAGCATGAGGTCAGCAGATCAAGACCATCCTGGCTAACCCAGTGAAACCCCATCTCTACTAAAACTACAAAAAATTACCCGGGCATGGTGGCAAGTGCCTGCAGTCCCCACTACTCGGGAGGCTAAGGCAGGAGAATTGCTTGAACCCAGGAGGCGGAGTTTGCAGTGAGCTGAGATCGCGCCACTGTAGTCCAGCCTGGGCGACAAAGCAAGACTCTGTAAGAAAAATAAAAAAACATACCCAGTAAAGAAATGGGGAAAGTCTATAAAAAGATTCTTTTACCTGAGACAGGATCTCACTCAGCTGCTCAGGCTGCAGTGGAGTGACACGATGATAGTTCCTTGTAGCCTTGAATTCCTGGGCTCAGGCCATCCTCCCACATCAGCCTTCCAAGTGTCTAGGATAGCATGCCCAGCTAATTTTTAAAATTGTTTTGTAGAGATGGGGTCTCACTATGTTGCCTAAGCTCCTAACCTCAAGTGATCCTGCCTCAGTGCCCCCAAAGTGTTGGGATTGCAGATAGGAGCCACTGCACCTGACCTCTTTATTTAATTTTTAATTGAATTAAAACATATATTCAGTAAGGGTACCAATTTTAAGAATTTAGCTTAATGATCAGTCACATGGCTTTTTAAAACTGCTATGTATTATTCCATTGTATAAGTGTACAACAATTTTTTTCATTTTACTGTTGAGTCACTTACAGTTCTGATCTTTTATGAGTGTAGCTGCTGTGGATGTTTTTGCACATCCTTGTCAGACATAAGCAGTCATTTCTCATGGAGTGAGGTTGCTGTGTTACAGGGTAGGCATATGTTTAGTCTCCAGCGGATACTGCTGAACAATTTCAACAGTATAGGAGGCAATTAAGACCCCAGTTTTTCTACATCCTCACCAACCCTTGGTATTATCCATCTTTTTAATTATGAATAGTATGTATATGTATAAAGTTATCTCATGATTTTAATGATTATTATTTATTCATTTATTGCTGGTTGTTCCTGATGATTAATTATTTTCAGCATTTTTGCCTGTGCTTATTGCTTTGACTCTTGTTCAATGCAATGTCTGTTCAAATCTTTTTACATTTTTCCATTGGTTTTATTATTGATTTAAAGGAAGTTTTATGTATTTGAGAAATAACTCTAATCAGTTACATCTGTTGCAGATGTCTTCACTGAGTTTATGTTTTCCCTCAAAACAATGGTACTTTTTGATGGATAAAATTTTTTAATTCCTTATCAGTCTTTTCTATTAAGGTAGTGCTTTTAGTGACCTGTTGAAATTTTTCCTATCCTTAGGTCATAAGGGACTTGTAGGAGCTTTATTATTTTGCCTTTCACATTTAGGTCCGATCCATTTTGATCTAATTTTTGCATGTAATGAGAGATTTTTTAATATGCAGATATATAATTGATCTAGCATCATTTATTGAAAGACCATTTCTGCCACTGAATTGCATTGGTGCTTTTCTTTTAAGTGACCACATATATATGAACCTATTTCTAGGCTCTTCTGTTTCATTGAACTATTTGTCTTTGTACCACCTGCAGTCTCTTAATTATCATAATTTTATAATAAATATTGATGTAAAGTAAATCTTAATTTTGTTACTGTTCAAGATTATGTTGGGTCTTTGAATTTCCTTTTTAATTTTAGGATCAAAAACATTACAGATCGGTTTAGGAAGAATTAAATTGAGTTTCTTAATCAGTCCATTAATATGAATATCTCTTCTTTTATTGAAGTCCTTCTTACATTCTCTCTGCAGTGTTGTATAGTAGAGGTTTTATATGTTAGATTTAGTCCTGGCTATTTGATGTTTTTCATGCTATTATAAATGTACTACTTTGTAAATGTTTCTAATTTTAACTGATATATAGGAAATATCTGTTTTGTATATTAATTGCTTAGTCAACAATCTTGCTAAATTTGTTAATGTTAGGTTTTATAGGTCTTTCAGATCGTCTACGTATATAACCATGTCATCTGTGAACAATGAATTTTACTTCCTTCTTTCCTATCTTTATACTGTTCATTTTCTTTTTTCTTGTCTGATGCATTGGTAAGACCTCCAGTTCAGTGTTGAACAGAAATGGTGATAATAAATATCACTGTCATGTTCACAAACTGGGGGACACAGTATTTCACCATTGTATATGGTGTTACCAGCAGGTCTTCTGTAGATACCCTTTTTGTATTAAGAAAGTTAATCTTTATTCCTGGTTTATGGGGAGTTTTTATCCTGTAAGTATTGAATTTTATCCAATTATTTATGGAGATGATTTTTCTCTTTTATTTTGTTAACGTGATAAATTACATTGATTTTCTAACGCTAAACCATTCATTTGTGGGGGGAAAAAACCCACATCCTTATAATATATATTATATATCATTGATTTTGAACTGCTTATATTTTGTTTAGGTTTACATCTGTGTTCACAAGCATGAACTTAACGATAGTGTCCTGAAATTTTTCTGTCTTGTAATGTTTCAGAATGTTATTTCATCTCTAGATGTTTTGTTGAATTTTCCAATGAAGCTATCTATCTGTCTGGCCCTGGAGTTTTCTTGGGAAGGATTTTAGTTCTGAATGCATTTTCCTTAGCAGACACAAGAATGTTCAGATTTTCTTTCTCTTGTTACCTAAGAGGACTAGATAACATTTGATTTTTTTTTTTTTTTTTTTTTGTGGTGATTGTCAAGCATTGATGGAGGGGATGTTTCTCACAGAGGCAGCCTTGCAAGTGAGCAGATGTCAAAATTGGAAAACAATTTTTGTACTAGTTAGAAAAATATTTTTAGCAAGAATAGTAAAAGAAATAGGGAAGATCATAGAAGTTATACATGAACTATAGAAGATAAAGAGCCACAATGTTTATAACCAAAATAAGGTAGTCAAAATATGATACTCAGGAATAAAAGTAGGAAAAAAAAGAAGTCTGTTGAATCTAACAGAGAATACAGTTTCTCTGCCGACATTAAAATGTTCCTGTTTTTTACAGTATATATTTTCTCGCTTTTAACTTATATTCTCTTTAGCTGCATGGCCTTGCTACTTCTGATTTGGACACCAGTCTTTTCCCATTCTCACTTCAAGCTCTTCTACTTGCTTTTCTATAAAATCTTATAGTGTTGAATCATTCATCTTAATATATAAGAAAAATGAATTAGGCACTCTTGTGCTTCTCTGGGGGACCTTTTTACATAAGATTTGGGGTATAAGAAATAGTACTGTTTTATCTGATCCTTCTTTGAGGCCGTCATTTCTTTCATAGGAACATTAATTTTTAGTCTCTGTTGTCTGAGAGTATGTGGTACATGTGAGATTAACTGCCCCAGAAAGGATGCATTGACTAAAGGGATAGTCTGGATGTGTCAGGGAAAATGTATATTTTCTGGTTTGGGCATTTGACTGGATTTCTTGTCTAGTTGTTTTTTTTGTTTCATCTAAATATGAAAATGCAGCAAAAGAATTTAAGAGTCAAAAATCAGTAAACTCTGGATTTTTAACAGGCTAGTGATTGTAGAGGTTCACGTGGGTATCTATTGATTGAGGGCTACATACCAATTCACTTGAAAATCCCATATTCTTACTGACCACCCAGGAAAGACTTTGGACTTTCAAAGTTAAGAGCCATTGGTAGAAAGTCCTTTGGCTCAAATACAAACGAGCATCTTATATATGAACTGGATAGGAAACAATTGCTGTTGGATACTGCAAACCTGTAATATCAATAGATACACTGCATCTCTAAAATACTATCGTTTCAGTCATTTCCTGTTGTCTTTCATCCAGTTCACTTTATTCCTTTATGTTACCTATCTGGCCACTATAGTAATTTGAACTAATAATTCCTGCATTTTTGTACTCCAGTGCGTAGTATGCTGCTTCCCTCCATAGAAGATATGCTCTAATTTAATAAAAAAGAGATTAATGCTTGATAATTAAATAATACAGCTACTTTTGAAGTGCTTTGTAACTTTATCATAGTTGAAGCCTCAAGAAAGTTAAATATTGCTTCCTCTGTGTTTTGGTAATGATTGGAATAATTCAAGTGTCTTATGTCTTTGTAAGCTACAGCTGCCATGTGTTACCTACCTGTGTCTTTAGAAAGCATGGTCAGGAATCACTATAATTTTCTGTTATTAGCTTTTGCTAGAATGGAAAACCTATATGTGGTATTTATTACTATTGAAGTGAACCAACGTTTGGTTTTTGCTTTTTTTTTTTTTTTTTTCTTTCTCGAGACAGGGCATCTCACTCTGTCACCTACGTAGGCTGGAGTGCAGTGATGCGATCTCGGCTCACTGCAACCTCCACCTCCCAGGTTCAAGCAATTCTCCCACCTCAGCCTCCCGAGTAAGTGGGACTACAGGCCACACCACCAAGTCTGGCTAATTTTTGTATTTTTTTGGTAGAGATGGGATTTCACCATGTTGGCCAGGCTGGTCGCGAACTCCTGACCTCAGGTGATCCGCCTGCCTTGGCCTCCCAAAGTGCTAGGGTTACAGGCGTGAGCCACTACGCCTGGACGACAGTTTTTGCTTGTTTTTCGTTTTTGCTTTTTACCAGGTTTTTATTCTTCTATGGGTGAATTTAAAAGCATAGATGTAAATTAGGTTGACAGATCTGAGCTAGTATAAGGACATAGTCTTTTCGCACTTATTGGAAAGCCTCTGATTTTTATTATTCACAATCAAATTTGGACTGTATATAATTCTTTAAGTAATCTGGGTGTGGTGGCTTATGCCTGTAATCCCAACACTTTGGGAGGCTGAGGTGGGAGTATCACTTCAGGACAGGAGTTTGAGACTAACCTGGGCAACATAATGTCCAGTTTTTTGGCTGATGAGTAAATCTTCTCTACCAAATTCTGATATATAAAGGAGTGCATATAAATTACACATTAATCACTCATAAATGGAATACTGATTGGCTTGTTTCGTGTTTGAAGTATTTTTCACTTTGTTTATTTTGAAGCTTCTTCTCAGCCTGTTGATAACCATGTTAGCCCATCTTCCTTCTTGGGCCAGACACCAGCATCTCCAGCCAGATACTCCCCAGTTTCTAAAGCAGTACTTGGAGATGATGAAATTACAAGGTAAGGAAGTTAACATTTATCCTTCTTACATAAAATCAACTATTAAATTGAATTTTAATCAGCCATGTAAGATAGCCACAATTTTTAGGACTAAAAAATTTTATTGACAGTTAGTGAGCTTAAAGGTTAATTTTTTTCCATAGGAGGATTCATTGAAGAGCCTGAAATATACATGTTTTATTTTTACAAATAAATTACCACTCCTTTTTTAAAATTAATACTGCTTTTCTTTGAGGCTTGGTAAATTGTCCTTAGGAATTAGCTTAGTAAAACTAAGTTAAGAAAATTCTTATGCATATTTTAAAGTAACATTTTATATGTTCCTTATCTAATATATACCATAAAAATATGGCAGTTATTTGATTTGTGTTCAGAATTCAATAAGTGGTGGTTTGGTTTGGTTTTAGCAGGAGGGTCTTACTCTGTTGCCCAGGCTGGAGTGCAGTGCTATGAACGTACATCACTGCAGCCTCCAACTCCTAGACTCAAGCTATCCTCCCGTATCTGCCTCCCTAGGTACTAAGATTACAGGCGTGATCCCCTTTGCCTGGCTGGTGGGTGGGTTTGTTTGTTTGCTATATATCCTTGATATTCTGACACACAAAATTTACTTTCATCTAAAATTACTACCTGCACTGAAATGTATAGATTAACTGTCTTTTTAATCCCAAAGAATTCTAATGAGGTAGAAAAAAATTGGTGAAAAAGCATTGTAGATCTTTTTCATATTATTCAATATAGTAATAAGACACTATAGAGTTTGCTTTGTAATTTGTACACGTCTTTTATATTACAGATTCAACATTAAAATGTGTACTAAGTAATGTCTGTTCTTAACGTTTATTGATTACATTATTGTTAGCATTATTATTATTTTTTACTTATCAGACTCCTGATTCTAGGCAGTGATCTTTAGGACAGATAGGAGTGTTTGTCTCTTTTCTTTCATAAAGAATTAGCAATGTTGGAAACTTAATAGGTTGTCAGTAATTGTGTTTGGGATGAAAATTAGCAGAAAGAATAGTGTTCTTATTTGTTTGTGATGGGAATATCCAAGGCTGCTAGTCTTCAGGCAGTGCTTCTAGAGTGACCTTTCATTGCCATTTATTTTTATTACTTTCTAATAGTGCCTATTTAAGGCCGTAAAGAGGGAAACTGTAATAGTGAATGGCTTATCTAGTCTTTAATCTCTTTGCATATTTTACAAACTAAAAAATAAGTTATATTTGCACCTTGATTACTGTTCCTCATGCTTCTTCACTTGAGTCTCTTGTCTAGAATATTGCATTGGACTTTTAAGTATGAACCACTCCCTTTTGATAATCACACTACTTTGTAATAATGAAGTATAAAATCTTTCCAACATTATAAGTTCTTCACAATTTGACTTTAAGCAGTCTTTCAGATGTTACCAATATCAAAAAAGTAAAAAAAAAAATCACAACATACCTACATTTTGGTTCTAAAGTTTATTTTTTAACAGCTTTATTGAGATATGATTCACATATCATAAATTTCACCTGTTTAAAGTATACAATTTGTGGTATATTACATCAGTTTTTAAAAATTGTAGCGAAATATATATAACAAAATTTGACATTTTAACTATTTTTAAGTGTACAATTCAGTAGTGTTAATTGCATTCACAATTTTCGGAACCCTTCACTATTTCCAAAACCTTTTCATTACTTCAGACAAACTCTGTGACCATTAAGCAGTAATTCTCCCTTCCACTGTCTTCCCAGCCCCTGGTAACCTTTAATCTACTTTTTGTCTCTATGAATTTGCCTATTCTGGATAGTTTATAAAAGTGGAACTGTATAATATTTGTCCTTTTGTGACTGGCCTATTTCACTTATGTTGTCAAGATACACTCATTTGTTAGCATGTATCAGAATTTCATTTGTTTTTATGACAATACTGTTCAATTATACATATATGCCACATTTTGTTTATTCATCTAATGATGGGCACTTGAGTTATTTTCACCTTTTGGTTATTGTGAGTAATTCTATAATAAACACTGGCATGCAAGTATCTGTCCAAATCACTGCTTTCAGTTACTTGGGATATATACCTAAGGGTGGAATTGCTGAGTCATATGGTAATTCTATGTTAGCTTTCTGAGGAACCACCAAACTGGTTTTCGTAGTGCCTGCACCGTTTTATATTCTCATCAGTAATGTGTGAGTTGCAATTTCTTTACATCCTCATCAACACTTGTTACTTTTTGTTTTGTGGTTTTTTTAATAGCCATCCTAGTAGACCTGAAGTATCTCATTATTTTTATATCTCTTTCCCTAGTGACTGATGATGTTGAGCACCTTTTCATGTGCTTACATTATTTGAAAATCAGAGTGTATTTTCCCCTGGAAATACTGTTGAATTTCAGCTGAGTATTTTTTAATCAAGTATAATTTCCTAATATAAAATTCTAATTCATACATATTTTAAAGCATAATGGGAACAGTAAATCCGGAATTCACCATCTAATTTAGGAAATAAAACATCACTAATATGATAAAACCTACCTGTGCCCCTGCAGATAGGTTTTAATTATTTCATATAAAAAGCCTGAAGATGGGCATTTCCAAGGTTGGTATAGCAACCTTAGGCCTGTGGTGTCTTCGGTATACTCTTGGTTTCACCTTCCTGATTATAATATGTCCAAACCAGTAAAGGGATTGTATTATTCAGTCGTGTGGGGTTTTGTTTATTTTGTTTCGTTTTTTTGAGGAAAGGAAGGTAGCAAAGATGCTTTGTCCTTGATAAGGTTTGTCTGTCTCTAGAAAATGACAATAAAATTTCCCTTCATTTACCAGAGGTTAGAATGGGGTTATACTCTCACCTCAGCAAAGGGGCATGGGATTGCAATAACTTGTTTAGGTTGGTTATGGTTCATCCCTTTGAGACTGGAGAAAGGGCCTGCCTTCTCTAAGACAAAAGGATACCTGCCTTTTAAACTTCTAAGTAGGGGCAGTGATTGCTTTGAAGGCAATAAAGTGTGCAACATCAGCTTTTCATGAGTATGTGTATTTCCTGATAAGCTCTTATAATACTTTTAAATTTCCACGTTTTTTTTCTGTTTTGGTTTCATTTCTGTTTTATATAACACAGGTTTTTTGCTTTTATATAAAATTAGATTTTTTCCTTTGATTTGTAGGCTTAGAATCTCTTTATCTCGTAGTTTTAGAAAAACCATTTATATTTTGTCTAGCTTTCTTTGTAGTTTGATAACATAAAAATTATCAGTAGGTAGTTCTCACTGATAGAATGTCAGGTTTTATATAAAATTTCCAAGATACTCAATTTTTTTTAATTTTTAGGGAACCTAGAAAAGTTGTTCTTCATCGTGGCTCAACGGGCCTTGGTTTCAACATTGTAGGAGGAGAAGATGGAGAAGGAATATTTATTTCCTTTATCTTAGCCGGAGGACCTGCTGATCTAAGTGGAGAGCTCAGAAAAGGAGATCGTATTATATCGGTAAGACACGTTAGTCAAGATCACGTTTTTGTTATTTTCACTGGACCTATTTTTAAAGCAAGGTCTTCTGTTTTTTTATATCCTAAAGTAATGGGGATATCTTGGTTATCTTCTTAACATTTTACAGCTTAATTGTAGAATTGTAGTGTCAGAGAACATATTATATAATAGGTGTTCTTTTATAGAAAGGGGTCAGTTTTTATAAATGTGCTTGAAGAAATTATGTGTTCTCTATTTATTGACTGGAAAGTTTGCTATGTGTCTATTAACTCAAGTTTGTTACTTGTGTACTTCTTTATACTTTAATCTGTTACCTTCTTGATCTATTGAGGTTTTGAAAGCTATCCAAATATGATTTTTTTAAAGCTACCCAAACATGGGTTCAACAGTTGGTCCTCATAGCATTAGGTTTTTTTAGTATGTCTTTTGAAATTGTATTATTGGGTACACATAGTTTTATAGTTGTTATTATGTAATGAACATCTTGATTTATAATAGTGGTTTTACCCTAGAATCTATATTGTCTGCTATTAATGTGGCTGATTTTTTTTTTTTGGCTTGATATTTGTGTCATCTTTTCTCCTCTTCTTACTTTCAATTTGTGTGCTTATGTTGTTACCCATACACAATTTTTGTCTAAAACTTACCTATAGTTCTACTGTGACACACAGACTTTGGGAAACTTTAATTCTAATCATGCCATTTCTAGTATTTTACTTCTGTTTCATGTTTATACCCATAAATTGTAATTTTTATTTTTGTTTATTAAAAGTTAATCCACAGGTCATACAATTTTTGTTTACCGTCCCATCTTGTATCTTCCCTCTTCTGTGTTTCTCAGTGGACCACTAACAGCATTTGGATTGTACAGTTATTTGTTGTATAGGACTGTCTTGCTCTTCATAGAAAATTTCCCTTTTTTTTTTTTTTTTTTTTTTTCCTTGAGATGGAGTCTCGCTCTGTTGCCCAGGCTGGATGGAGTGCAGTGGCGCGATCTTGGCTCACTGCAAGCTCCGCCTCCCGGGTTCATGCCATTCTCCTGCCTCAGCTTCCCTAGTAGCTGGGACTACAGGCACCCGCCACCACGCCTGGCTAATTTTTTTGTATTTTTAGAGACGGGGTTTCACCTTGTTAACCAGGATGGTCTCGATCTCCTGACCTCGTGATCCTCCCACCTCGGCCTCCCAAAGTGCCGGGACTACAGGCGTGAGCCACTGCACCTGGCCGAAAATTTCCCTTTTTTAAAAGCTTTCATATACATGCTACATGCTAGTAAAACTCCCTAGTCATTGTAAAAAGCAAAAATGCCCTTCAGATATCTAAATGCACCTTAGTGTGCAAGCCCTTGATTTGTGCTTTCAGCAATGGTTCCTTAATCGTAAATATTCTAGACTTTATCTGAAAGTATCTTTATTTTATTTCACTTTAAAAGTTAGTTCAATCTAGAATTACACAGGTTGATAGCTGTTACCTCTCAGTATTTTGAAGATACTGTTTTATGTTGTCTGGCGTGTTGTTTCTATTTAACGAAAGAAGTCTACTCTGTCTTGTTCGTAGGTGACTTGTGGGGGTTTGCTGGCTGCTTGTAAGATGCTTTGTGTTTGATGTGCTGCAGTTTCACTAAAATGTGAAACTTTGTCGATGTCTAGCATATTATTTATTGTGTTTGGGATTCATTATGCCTACTGAGTCAGAGGAGTCATGTCTTTCATCAATTCTAAAAACTTCTCTCATCAATTCTGAAGACTTAGCCATTGTCTTTTCAAATTTTGCCTTTCCCATGTTGTATGTACTCTGTCCCTAAACTCCTATGAGTGGATGTGAATCTGTTTTTCATGTCTGTTAACCCCAATTTCATATTTACAGCTCTGTCTCCTTGTAATTCAAGTTTATAAATTTTCTTTTCTTTTTTCTTTCTTTTATTTTTTAAGAGACAGGGCTTCAGTGCATTGCCTAGGCTGGAGTACAGTGGCTATTCACAGGCACAATCATAGAGCACTATTATAGCCTCAAACTTACGGGCTCAAACGATATTCCTGCCTGAGCCTCCCAAGAAGCTGAAACTGTAGCAGCTTCAATTTTCTTATCTATATCTAATCTGAAACTACATCTTATCTATACCTTACCTATAACTGTATCTTAACTATATCTTATCTATATCTAATCTGAAACTATAGCAGCTTAAATTTTCTTTATCTAATCTTAAAAGCTACGATTTTAAGATACAGAAATTGTCGGCTTGGTTCAAAAAAGCAAGACCAAACTATATACTGTTTATCAGAAATTTACTTTAAATATAAAGGTTCATGGGTTGTAAGTAAAAGTGAAAAAAGGTACACTATGCAAATAGCATACTAAAGCTACTGTCTTAATATGAGACAAAATAGAATTTAAGACAAATAATGTTATTATACATAGATTTCATAATTATAAAAGCAGCGAGAAAGATAAAAGTGTCATTTCATCAAGAAGACATACCTAGTAATACTTTCAAAATACATGAAGTATAAATTATCAGAACTAAGGAAGGAAATGGACAAATCTACAGTCACATTTGGAGATTTAAATGCCCTCTTCTTTAATTGATAGAACAAGTAGACACAAGGAAAAGAAGAAGAATCTCATTTCTTACTTCATGTTGTATAGAAAAATTAACTTGAAATGGACCATAGAACTAAACTTCTAAAAGAAAACATACAAGAAAATCTTAGTAAATATGGATTAGACAAATTTCTTAAATAGTACCAGAGGGCCACCAAGTCAGTTCAATAGAGAAGGGAAAATCTTTTTAACAAATGGTGCTATAATACCTAGATATCTGTATATAAAATTATAAACCTAAACCAGTCTTACTCCAGACATAAAATTTAATTCTAGATGGATTATAGATCTAAATATAAAACTCAGAACCATAATCTTCCTAGAAGAAAATATCAGAGACTATGTTCACAGGCCTAGAGTAGGTAACAGTTCCTTGGACAAAATGCATAAAACACTAACCATAAAGAAGATGACATTAAGAAACCAAATACGCTGGGTGACGTGACTCTTGCTTATAATCCCAGTAACTCAGGAGGCTGAGGCAGGTGGATCGCCTGAGGCCAGGCGTTTGAGACCAGCCTGATCAATATAGCAAGACCCCATCTTTAAAAAAAAAATTTTTTTTTAATTAGCCAGACATAGTAGTGGGCACTTGTAGTCCCAGCAACTTGGGAGGCTAAGGCAGGAGGATCACTTGAGCTTAGGTGTTTGAAGCTACAGTGAGTGAGCTTTGATCCCACCACTGCACTCCAGCCTGGGCAACAGAGCAACACCCTGTCTCAAAAAAAAAGAAAGAAAAAAACCAAATAGGCAAGCCACACAGTGGTAAAAAATATTCTCAGCACATACATGACATACTACTTGTATCCACAATATATAAATATCTCCTACAAATCAACAATAAAAAGATGAATAACCCAATTAAAAATGCACCAAAGACTTGAGCAGGTACAGCACAAAAGATATGTGAATGGCCAGTAAGCACATGAAAAGGTGCTTAACATTAGGCATCAGAGAAGTGCACAAACCGCAGTGAATGAAGAGGTTTGTAGGGAGTTGAATAAGAGTGATGTAATTGTTCTATATTTTGATTGTGGGTGGCTGCACGAAATTCACATTTGCCAAAACTTAACTATACACTAAAGAAGATTGATTATGCCTAGATAAAAATAGGTATTCTTGAAGTCGTAATGAAATACTATATCCCACTTAGTTGAACAACAAAAGAAAAAAATAACAACATTCATTGATGAGGATGTGGAGCAGCTACAACCCTCATTCACTACTAGTGGACGTGTAAATGGTATACCACTACAAGAACTTTTGGGAAGGTTTTTAAGAAGTTAAACATACATCTAATCTTATCACCCAGGTTTTACCCAGGACAAATGAAAGCATACATCAACAAAAACACTTTGACAAGAACATTCTTAACAACCTTATTCATAATAATCTAGACCTTGAAATGACCCAGGTTTCCATCAGCAGGACAATTGCTAAATTGTGGTATGTTTACACAATATAATACTACTCAGCAATTAAAAGGAACAACTACTGAAACACAAAACAAGTATGTTGAGCAAAACAGATAACAAAAATACAATCTATATAATTCCAGTTACATGATAATCAAGAGCAGGTGACACTAACTTGTGGTGCTGTAAGTCAGAAAGTGGTTGCCAGTGATTGGGACTGACTATAGAAGTGCACAGTTGAACATCGGTGGAAAAGATACATGTCTTGTCTGGGGTAGTGGTTTCATGATTTTTATGGTTAGCAAAATCCTTTCAGCTGAGCTGTTCAAATTTCTACATTTCATTGTAAAATATACTGTAATTTATTTAAGTTACAGTATGATAAGGAAAACTTAGTGGTAGGGAATGGACTTAAAAGATTAATATTGTTGAACATATTACCTAGTTATTTAGGGAAATAAAATTAGCTTAGAGCCTCACTTCACACTTTGTGTCCAAATAAATTTTCGTTTAGCCTAGAGTTCAGTAATAGATGTTTTTAAATTGTCCCTTTGGAACCACTTTAGATAGGTCATTGATACAGTGCTAAAGTGTGTGAGACCAACCAACTCAACCTAGTTCACCCAGAACATTCATGGTTTTAGAACTGAATGCCCCATGTCTGGAAACCCTTTGGTCTTGATTCTAAAACTGGAAGTCTCAGCTAGTCCAGGGAAGTAGCTCACCCTAATGTGAGTGCAGTTAAATACAGCATTATGTTTAGCAATATGCATCAGTAACCTTAAAATTTTAATGCTTACTGAACTTCTCTAGGGAAATGCCCTAAAAGCACTAGGAAATAGTAGACCGATCAATAAACTTAAAAGGAAAATTGGAGGAGTGAATTCTCCATAAGGCCTTTGAAAACCTCCGTGTATCCTTGGAACCAGAAGGCCACACACATGTTCAGGGCTGTGCGCATGCTCAGGAAAGACTAGAAAAGGCCTTAAACTCTCACCTCTACCTGATCATGAGCCTCTGTGCAAGCGATTTAAGGCAGTTGTTAATTGCTTATCTGAGTGTTAAAGGTGGGCCCCAAAATGCACATATAGCCCTTGGAAAAGAGTGGAAGATTTGTAAGTTTCAGGTATTTAAGGAAATATGTATTCAGTCATTAACCACTAAGCTAACCAGACAGAGACCTCAGTGGCCACACACAACAAAGAATACGGACTTTATAACATTAAGAAAAGTCACTAACAGACAGCAATGACAAGCGTAGATAAGAGGACAGTTCTGCTATCTGGAGTTGCCGTATTATATTTATTTTAAATGCCTATTTTTCGTCATAAAATTTTGAGACAAGCGGAAAGAAAAGTATGGCCCATATACAGGAGAAAAACGCAATCAATGGATATCGTTCCTAGGGAAGGTCAGACATTGAACATGCTAAACAAAGACATTAAACCAGGTATTTTAAATACGTTCAAGGAATAAAAGAAAACCATCCTGTAGACTGACATGAAAGTAAAGGAACAATATCTCACCATGTAAAAAATATCAATAAAGAGTTAGAAATTATATGTAAGAACCAAATAGAAATTCTGGAGTTGGAAAGTACAGTAACTTAAATGAAAAATTCTCTAGACAAGGTCAACAGCAGATTTGAGCTGGCAGAAGAAAGAATCAGCAAACTTGAAGATGGGTCAATTGAGATTTTGATGCTGAAGAACTGAACAATAACAAAGAAAGAAAGAATGAAGAAAAATTAACAGCTTCAGAGACCTATGGGATACTATCAAATTTACCAACATAATGGGAGTATGTGAAAGATGGGAAAGAGAGAAAAAAGAAGAAAGAATATTTGAATAAATACTCGCCCAAAAACTTCTAGAACTTGATTAAAACCATTAATCCAAGAACCTCAGTGAACTCCAAGTTAAATTAATTTAAAGAGATCTACAACATAGACACATTACAATCGAACTGTCTAAAGCCGAAGGCAGAATATTGAAAGTAGCAAAAAGAAATGACTCACCACGTGCAAGGGATCCTCAACAAGGTTAATAGCTGATTTCTCATCAGAAACCATGGAGGTCAGAAAGCAGTGAAATAACAAATTCAAAATTCTGAAAAGAAAAAAACTTTGTTGACTAGAACTCTATATCCAGCAAAACTATCTTTTGAAAATAAAGAAGAAATCAGGACATTGCCAGATAAACAAAAGCTGAAGGAGTTCATCTCTCAAAAACCTGCCCTATAGGAAATAAGAGAATCCTTCAGACTAAAATGAAAGGAAACTAGAGAGTAACTCAAATCCACATGAAGAAATAAAGAGCCTAAGTAAAGGCAACTACACAGGTAAATATAAAACAACATAAGGGTATTGTTTTATATGCAACTCTTTTTTTCTCCAACCTGATTTTAAAAACAACTGAATAAAGCAATAATTACAAATTTGATGTGCACACATCGTATAAACATAAAATTAATATGACAACACCACAAGGCGGGTAAAGAAACTAGGTTCTTATAAAATGTTTGTTTGTTTACTTATTTATTTTTAGAGGCAGCATCTCACTCTGTCCCCCAGGCTGGAGTGCAGTAGCACAGTCATAGCTCACTGCAGCCTCAAACTTACTCAGGCAATCCTCGTGCCTCAGCCTCCCGAGTAGCTGGGCTGCAGGTATGCACCACTACACCTGGCTGAATTGTTTTCTTTATTTTTTTAGAGATAAGGGTCTCACTGTGATGCCTAGCCAGCCCTCAAAGTGTTGTACTCAAGTGATGCTCCTGCTTCAGTCCTTTTGCCTGAGCCACCTGAGTCACTGGGATTACAGTCTAGAACCACCACATCTGGCTTTAAATTTTTACTTATAATCCAAGATAACCACTAAGAAAATGACTAACAAATATATGTAGTAAAATTAATGACATGGGAATTAAAATGGTACACTAGGAAATATCTATTTAATATAAAAATAATGCAGTAATTGAGGAATAGAGAAAGAAAAGACATAGAACAAATAACCAAATTAAGTAAATTCTACATTATCAGTAATTATATTAAATATAAACAGATTAAGCACTCCAGTTAAAAGGCCAAAGATGTTGATAAAGTAGATTAGAAAACAGAATCCAACTACACAGGGTCTACAAGAGAGACACTTTAGACTCAAAGACACAAAAAGGTTGAAAGTAAACGGGTGGAAAAGATGCATTACACAAAAAGTAACCAAAAGACACCTACTGTGGCTGTACTAATATGACTAATATCAAAGGACGCTTGAAGAAAAACATTATTACTAAAGGCGAAAGACATTTATAGTATATCATTATGTAGTCATAGATGGTATATATTTTATAGTTATATACTCTAATTACCAATACATTTCTAGAAAGACATAAACTACTGAAACTAACTCAAGAAGAAATAGAGAATTTTAATAGATTTAAAACAAGGAAATTGAATTAGTAATCAAAAACTAACAAAACACAAAAATCCCAGGACCAGATGGCTGCACTGGTACATTCTGCCAAACATTTAAAGAATTAACACCAATCATTCACAAACTCTTCCCCAAAAAGGAATAAGCATGAGGAATGCTTTCCAGCTCATTCTGTGTGGCCAGTATTATCCTTATACCAAACCAAAGACATCACAAGAAGAAAAAATTACAAACCAATATCCCATATGAATATAGATGTAAAAATCAACAAAATAACAACCTGGATCCAACAGCATGAACAAGGATGATGTACCATAACCAAATGGAATTTATTCAAGGAATGCATGGTTAGTTCAACATAGAAAAACCAATCAAAGTAAGACACCATCTTAATAAAGGACATAAAGCACATGATATCTCAGTAGACACAGAAAAAGCAATTGTCATAAACCAACAGCTTTTCATGATAAGAACACTAAATAGACTAGGAATAAAAGGGAACTTCAACCTGTTAAAGGGTATCTCTGGAAACCCTATAGCTGACATCATACTAAATGGTGAGAGACTGAAAGCTTTCCCTCTAAAATCAGGAACAAGACAAGGGTATCTGCTCTTCCTACTTCTATTCAACATTGTCCTGGAGGTTCTAGAAATTAGGCAAGATTAAAAAAAAAAAAAGGCTACCAGAATAAAAAGCAAGAAAACTATTTCTGTTTGCAGATGACATAATCTTGTATAGAAAAAATCTTAAGAAATACAACAACAGACTGTCAAGCTAATAAATGAGTTCAGTTAAATTTGCAGGATAGACAAAGAAAACATTGATTTATAATACTATCAAAAAGAATAAAATACTTAAGTATAAATTTAAGGACATGGATCAACAAAAGTGGTATATCCTTTTTTTTTTGGGTTTGGTTTTTTTGTTTTTTGTTCTTGAGACAGAGTCTTGCTCTGTCGCCCAGGCTGGAGTGCAGTGGCGCAATCTCTGTTCACTGCAAGCTCCGCCTCCCAGCTTCACGCCATTCTCCTGCCTCAGCCTCCCAAGTAGCTGGGACTACAGGTGCCTGCCACCACGCCCGGCTAATTTTTTTGTATTTTTAGTAGAGACAGGGTTTCACCATGTTACCCAGGAAGGTCTCGATCTCCTGACCTCGTGATCTGCCTGCCTTGGCCTCCCAAAGTGCTGGGATTACAGGCGTGAGCCACCACACCTGGCCAGTATATCCATTTTTAATGGATTTTAGTGGCGCATTATTTAGCGCCACTAAATATAAGGAATGAAGTACTGATACATGCTCCAAGGGTGAACCTGGAAAATAAGTGAAAGAAGCCAAGCACAGATGGCTACATATTATATATCCCGTTTATTTGAAATATACCGAATAGGTATATATAGGTATATGTACAGTATGGTCAGAAAGTAGCTTCGTAGTTGCCAGGGATGGAGAGGAGACACAGGAGTGACTGTCAGTGGATACAGAGTTTCTTTTTGGGGTAATGAAAATATTTTGGAATTAGGTGGTAATGATGGTTGCACAGACTTGCAAATATACCAAAAACCACTAAACTATATGCTTTAAAAATGTGAATTCTATGGTATGCGAATTATTTCTCCATTTTTAAAAATGTCGGTGTAAAAGAAAAAAAGTGACTCTAAGGCTATTTATACAAGTATCTCTCTCAGTACTGGAATTTCTTCTAAAATATCCTTAATAATGTATCTTCAATTGAAATGTTCAGTGATAGTCTGGAAAGTCTTTAATATGTAGTTTTGTTCAACAAATTATGCTCTTAAAAGAGTTTGGTGCACAGAAATAATTCATTAACATTCTTAATCTTTTCTACAATAATCTGTGAAAAACCTGTCTTTCTTTATATTTCTTGCCTGATATGTTCTCCCAGGAATTGGGAGGATTTTCTTTATGCACTAAGTAGAACTGTTTATACATTGTATTGAGTTTTATATGGCCATCATCAGCTGGAGATACTAATAACCACATTGTTTACATTTGTTTATGTTATGGATTTTAGATCTTGGTTTTCATTGAGGGGGGTGGGGGGGGCTGGCTGGAGACAGAGCGTCCCTCTCTCTGTCACCCAGGCTGGAGTACAGTGATGTGATCTCAGCTCACTGTAACTTCCGCCTCCCAGGTTCAAGTGATTCTCATGCCTCAGCCTCCTGAGTAGCTGGGACTACAGGCACACACCACCATGCCCGGCTAATTTTTGTATTTTTAGTAGAGACAGGTGTTTGCCATGTTGGCCAGGCTGGTCTGAGACTCCTGGCCTCAAGTGAACCACCCACCTCAGCTTCCCAAAGTGCTGGGATAACAGGTGTGAGCCACCATGCCCAGCCTCAAGGGGTATGTATTTAAATTTAGTTGCATAATGGTTTCTTTTTAGATAATATAAAACATCAGATCTTTATATGGTTAAAATGTTCTTTATGTAAATTTATGATCCCAAGAATTTCTGGGCTCATAGTCAAATTTTTTAAAAGTGATATGTGATCTTTAACAGATTTTAGATTAGTTCTCAACAAAACAAGTTTTTGTGTAAAAATTGCATGATGATCGTTCCTTTCCAAAAATTTTCAGTGAAGGTCCTGAACATTGCCATATTCTATTCATTGTTGCTTCTTAATTTTTTTTAATTCGGTATTTAAAGTTTATTACATTCAAGTATAATGCTTCCATGAATGTCCTCTTAAGTTTGTCTTATTGTGGAAAAGGAACAATCTCTTAAGATAATGTACCTTGCACTATATATGTATATATGCGCGCAAAGTATTGGTAACCTTTGAGAAATAAGAATTAAGTTGCCTCTTCTTCTGGAGTAGGATTGTACCTACTGGTAGAATTGGATAATTATTTCACCTAAGGAAGGGCTCTTAATTCAAAAAATAACTCCTGGTTCATTTAATTAACATTTATTCTAATTAAATCAGTCCTTGAAATCTGAGCTGTTTTAATATTTCTAAATAATAGCTTTCCTATTATACCAAAAGAATGGAAGTTTTAGTTTGTACAGGAAGAAAAATAATTGGAACTGAATTGAGCAGTAGGCGTGAGAATGTGGCAGGAGGTAAATGGATGCTACAAGCAAAATGACTTTCCCTCCCATTGCTTGAGTTCCTAGCAAAATAAAGTGTGCAAAATGATGCCACTTGATTTTTCAGGTTCTCAAATTAAGGTACATTTCTCAATGGATTGATACCCAGCCTTCTAGGGGAAAATGTTTTGGTTTTACTAACTTGACATTAAGCAAGGTGGTTTTAGTAAATAAAATAGCTTTGAATGATAATATTTTGTTTTACTACACAATATATTTTTAGTCAATCAGAACAAGAAACATTTTAGTGGTAAAGTTATTGCAACTAATTTTTTAATACATGCTTACTCAAAGAATAGACTATTGTGATTTCTAATCACAGTGATTCTTTTCTCCCAAATTAAGATTTGGTTTGATTTACAGGTAAACAGTGTTGACCTCAGAGCTGCTAGTCATGAGCAGGCAGCAGCTGCATTGAAAAATGCTGGCCAGGCTGTCACAATTGTTGCACAATATCGACCTGAAGGTAATAACATTCTTATTGTCTATAGTTATTGCTTATTTTAGTTTTTAAAATTCTTCCTCTTTAATATTTAATAATGTTTAACTTCCAAGCTAAACTTCCTTTTTTGTGCTTTTTTTCTGATTTGCTAATCCAGTATTTGTTTAGTCTGAACCTAGTTCTTTTTCCAGATCAAAAGTTGTTTGTTTTTTTGGTTTTTTTTGGTTTTTGTTTTTTGTTTGTTGAGACGGGGTTCCACTCTTACTGCCCAGGCTGGAGTGCAGTGGTGCGAACTCAGCTCACCGCAACCTCTGCCTCCCAGGTTCAAGTGATTCTCCTGCCTCAGCCTCCCAAGTAACTGGGATTACAGGCATGCACCACCATACCGGCTAATTTTTTGTATTTTTAGTAGAGATAGAGTTTCTCCATGTTGGTCAGGCTGGTCTCAAACTCCTGACCTCAGGCGATCCGCCCACCTCAGCCTCCCAAAGTGCTGTGATTACCGGTGTGAGCCACTGCACCCTGCCAAAAGTATTTTTTAATGATGTGGGAACTGGCATCCACAAGCTTAACCCACAAAACCCCCATTATGTGGGTTAATTTAACTGTTTACTTTTTTAAATCTGTTCTGTAACTGAAGACATAGCTTTTAATGTCCCTTTTACTACTTTATTGATCTGAAAAAATAATAAAAACCATAAGCAGATATAGTAATAATGCCCAAAAAAATTAGGTCACCCAGATTTTTTCTAGCTTTTGAATTAGGTTATAATTATTAATATCAAGATTTAAGACATGTTTCTAATAGCTGTTACTGCCGCTATTTAAAATAAAGAGAAGAATGCCAAGTTTGGAGTATACTGTGTGTCTAGATGGTGAAGTATGGTGGATGTGACTTTACTAAGTTCCTGGGGGAAGAAGGTGGTGATGGAGAATTTGAGGTCATGCCATAGTAAACATATGTAAGACTCTAGTGTACATCAGCATAACCACATCTCCAATAAAACCTCAGTGGAATTTAGAAAGCTTAAATACCCAAAAGAATACATAGCATATTTGTTGATGCTCATAAACAACATGATGAATAAGGAAAAGATGATGTGAGTAAAGGAGCTAAATGAGTAATTCTGTAATTTATCAACTAATTACATTTATTCTTTTTTGAAGCAGAATTTCTTTTTTAATCTAGTATGTTTTTTAGCTGATCAAAGCAGCATGTTGAGCATTGCTTGGTCTTTCTTAAGTATGGGAGGTTCTATCAATCTAGTAAAACCTTGGCCTTTTAGGCTTAGTAACTAAACAGGGGAAAATTTGTTTAATTGGGAGTAAATTCTGAATATTAATTCACATTAACCAAACAATAGAGACTAACGTATGAAGTCAGAATGTCAATTCGTTAATTTTTGTGAGAAACAAATCTGCCAATGGGACCCTATGTTGTACTTTTATCTTCTGGCCAACATATTCCACCCCGTAGGTACACTATATGGAAGCCGAGTTACAGTCACTGGTTCCTTAGTATTATAGACAGCCTCTCATTTATATGTTTATAAGGAATATAAACTTTTTAGGTATGGTTACGGGTAACTTAATATCTGCTCCCTAACCTCAAAACACACAGAACACACAAAAGCAGTAAGAAAAACAAAACATACACGCATGCTCCTACCCACACAACTTCACTTAATATTAACTAAAACTAAGAAGGCAGGTATGATACCTGGACAACCAAGTAGAGGTAAAGACTCCTTAAGCAGCTGAGGTCTTGCAGAAGCCACACGGAAAGAGGGGAAGAGTTAAAATATGGAATGTTGAGAATGTTTGTGATGGCACAAATTTAGGATATGGTATAAAATTTCACTCATAATGTGGTTTGGTTTAGAAAAGCAGAGGACCCGTATTTGGATAAAGCAGCCTGCCTCTGTAGGATCAGATAATGTGACAGTATTTGGGTTTTAAAACCTGTAAAAATGTCCTGTGCCTCTATCTTTCCTGCACCCCTCGACTTTCTGGAATAGCTACTCTAGCAAAATCTAGCAAAGTAATAAGTAATTTTTTTTGTTTGTTTTAAGATGGAGTTTCACTCTCTTGCCCAGGCTGGAGTGCAGTGGCACAATCTCGGCTCACTGTAACCTCCGCCTCCCAGGTTCAAGCCTCCCAAGTAGGTGGGATTACAGGCACCTGCCACCACGCCCGGCTTATTTTTGTATTTTTAATAGCGACGGGGTTTCACCATGTTGGCCAGACTGGTCTCCTGACCTCAGGTGATCTGCCTGCCTCGGCCTCCCAAAGTGCTGGGATTACAGGCGTGAGCCACAGCCCCCAGCCCCAGTAATAAGTAATTTAAAAGTAGCCTCACATTCATACAAAGATAATAAGAGGTGGGGAAAAGCATCAAAGCTTAGTAACAGGTTAGCTACACGCACACACAACACAAAAACATTAACACAAATCGGATTTTAAGAAGTACAAAAGGAGTCATCCGACACTCTGATAATCAGCATCTTGCAGTTAGTATCTTTCCTAAAGGCTTGGGATTCTCTGCCTTGTTGATAATCTTATATATATACATACAAGACAGACAGATAGAGACAAAGGTAAGCTTTTGGTAGAATTAAGTTTTTTATCTTTCAGGATCTATGGTTTGCCTTATTAGTCTTCCAAAAAAGTACTTTTATGGGTTTTTCAGCTTGTGTACTTTGAACTTTCTTGACTTGGATTCTGATTATGAGAAAAAATAATCTCTACAAGACATATGAAGGAACATTATCTTCTAACTCCTTTCAGTTTTATTAATTCCAAAGGCAAGGAATAATTCACTTTGGGGGGCCTTTACTGTTAATCTTTTTGGAGAATCATTATCAGAAATTAGCTGGACGTGGTGGCTCAGGCCTCTAATCCCAGCACTTTGGAAGGCCTAGGTGGGAGGATTACTTGAGCCCAGGAGTTCGAGACCAGCCTGGGCAACATAGCAAGATCTTGTCTCTGCTAAAACTTTTTTTAAAGTTTTTTAATTAGCCATGCGTGGTAGTGCGCACCCGTAGTCCCAGCCAAGGCAGGATTGCTATGATCTCACCACTGCACTTGAGCCTGGGCGACAGAGTGAGACCCCGTCTCAAAATAAAAATAAAAATAATCGAACATGGGAACTGGAAATATAATACTATACTCGTTTTGGACTCCATATCCCAAAGTTATAAAGTTTTATCACATACTTCCTATAGTTTAAGAATCTCTTGGCCAGGCGCGGTGGCTCACGCCTGTAATCCCAGCATTTTGGGAGGCCTAGGCGGGCAGATCACGAGGTCAGGAGATAGAGACCATTCTGGCTAACACGGTGAAACCCCGTCTCTACTAAAAATACAAAACCAAAATTAGCCAGGCGTGGTGGCGGGCACCTGTAGTCCCAGCTGCTCGCGAGGCTGAGGCAGGAGAATGGCGTGAACCCGGGAGGCCGAGCTTGCAGTGAGCCGAGATCACGCCACTGCACTCCAGCCTGGGCGACAGAGCGAGACTCTGTCTCAAAAAAAAAAAAAGAATCTCCTGTGATAGTATATAATAGTAAAACTGTACGCCATGCATGATACGAACCATGTTATGTTTATTCACTCTTTTAACTCCCAAGATAATCCTGTAAGTAAGCACCGTTATCCCCGTTTTACGTTGTAGTTGAATAAGCTCTTCCATAAAGAGACCAAGTAATTTGCTAGTTACACAACTGTTAAACGGTTAAGATTTCTTCTAGCCCCTTTTAAGCGAAGAAAAACCTTTTCCTCCACCCTTGTATGTTCAGTAACGGGCCTGTGAAGTAAACTGACAAAAAAAACAGATTAACATGGAAAAAAAGTTTCTTGTATATGGATGCAAGAGGCAACAGAAGAAATACTGAAGCTAGCTTGTGGATGAAGTTAAAAGCTTGTACACCTAATCTAGTAGGGAAAGGAAGGAGGGAGAAACAGCTTTTATTAGAAAAACGTACATTTCTTCAGGAAAGACAAGTTTTTAGGAGAAGAGATGGGGGATAAAGTTTGTGATGACATTTGTCTAAACTGGTATGACTGGTCTTTCCATTCTTCGGGGCCATCAGACTCCTCAGAGGGTATTTATGGTAACTTCATTTCTCGGAAGCTGCACCTTTTAGTCAGATTAGAGAAACTCCGAGAAGGCTTTTTTCCTGCATCTGTTGAATCTCAGATATCTTCAGCTTAAAATCTTTGTGGCAACTCTGGGGTTCTGGGTGGGTCTCCATACCCTGTTCTTACTCTTTCAACTACTCATTAAACTCTTGGAATCTCTCACCTCAAATATTTAATCTTATTGTTCCTCAAGAGTATTAGGCCAACTTTCAGAGCTTATATCTCAATCTTTTGTTCAGAAAGCATTAATTATATTGTAATAATACCATAAAAGAAATAAATTGGAAAGAAACTCAATATATAAGTTAAATTTATTTTCTCTTTCCCATTGGTTAGGTCTTATATTTGTGACATATTTTATTTTCGCAAGAAAAAAACTGTTTGGTGGCATAATCCCTATTTTGCAAGTGACCAGAGTCTAGAGAGGTTAGGCCATAGTCACTTAACTTTTCTGCGCTTCAAAGCTTTGATTGAAATCTTGAGTTACAAAGGTAGATTTCTAACACCCAGTGTCCTGACTTTATTTTCATTATTACTTCTTATACCAACCAAAGGGAGAAGAGGTGGAGATAATCTGGGAAGATTGCAGTGGACTAGTGGCATTTATTTGCAGACATTTGTCATTTCTTATCATTTTCAGTAGTAGATAGGTAATTAAAATTTTTTTCAGTCTCCTGCTTTCCCACTTCCCTTGCTGTATTTTTCTACGCGCCTGTGCTGCAGTTGACCCTTGAACAACACAGGTTTGAACTGCGAGTGTCCACTTACGCACGTGCTGTTCAACCAAACTGGGATAGAAAATGCCATATGCCTGTCAGATTCCACAAGGCCTCCTGTTAGACTTGAACATGCACGGGTTTTGGTATACGTGGGGTTCTGGAACTAATCCTCCGAGTATGCCAGAGAGCTATTGTACTTAAAACAACTAACTGGCCTTCTTAAAAATAGTTTCCCTTTTTCTTTAGGCCAATTAATAGTATCCATCCTCTGAGAATTGTTTCTCTTGGGTTTAATATCTGTGTTTAATGTATTTTATTACAGTTATAAATGAATGTTTTTCTTTATAGGGATTGCATGTTAAGAAGAGATTGAGGAAGTCCAATTTCCCCCATACCCCTTCCTCACTTTTTACTTCTAGTGTGGCGGTGAAAACAAAGGTTAAAATTTGAAAGGGGATATCAAATGAAAAAATCAGCTTTTAAATATCTCTCCTTGTATAAGCGTATACATACTAACTTGTAGCCAGCAGTTCAGATACGTCCTAATACGTTTCATGACAAGAAATATGGTTTGATACAGGAATTTTTGAGATGTTGAATGGAGAAAATCTCTTATGTAAAATTATAGCTTTGCTGAGTTTTGATGTAATTCTAGGAGAGGAGTGTAAATGACTTAACTGAAAAAAGGGATGAAACTCTTCCGTCAAAATAAAAATTTAAGAAAATAGGTGTAGTGGTTAGCACTTCGGGAGGCTGAGACAAGAGGATCACTTGAGCCTAAGAGTTGAAGATCCCCTGGGTAACATAGGACACCCTGTCGCTGCAAGTAATTTTAAAAATGAGCTGGGCATAGTGATGCATGCCTGTAGGCTCAGCTACTTGAGAGGCTAAGGTAGGAAGATTGCTTGAGCCCAGGAGGTCAGAGCTACTATGAGCCATGATCGTGCCACTGCACTCCAGCCTGGATGACAGAGCAAGAGCCTGTCTCCAAAAAAACCTTAAAAACAAAACAAAAATATGTTGGTGGGAGTATTTACGAAAATATACACAGGATAGGTAAAATGTGGAGACTGATAGGACTAAAAGTATCAATTGATTGAAACAAAAGGAAAAGGTAGGAATCTTAAGTAGGTAAATGAAATAGAAGGTTTAAAGGAAAAGTAACTTTAAAATGCCGAAGTATGTTTTGAACATATAGAAAGGTAGCTGTGAGGAATTGTTAAGAGTAAGGCAAAGACTTGGCCAGGCGCAATGGCTCACGCCTGTAATCCCAGCACTTTGGGAGGCCAAAGCAGGCAAATCCCTTGAAAGCAGGAGTTCAAGACCAGCCTGGCCAACTTGATGAAACTCTGTCTCTACTAACATAAAAATTAAACAGGCATGGTGGTACATACCTGTAATTTCAGCTACTGAGGAGGCTGAGGCACAAGAATCACTTGAACCCAGGAGGCAGAAGCTGCGATGAGCCGGAATTGCACCACTGCACTCCGGCCTGAGCAACAGAGCGAGGTGGGGGCGGGTGGGAAGACTCTAAGCAAAGACTATAAATATGAAGATCTGAATACAGTGAAAGAAATAGATCACAAATTTAAGAAATTATCAGGAATTGACTTAGCTCTTCAGTATCTTAAATTTTTAATATCTGAGACTATGTTAACTGCTTTGTAGTAACTTAGTTACTCATTAAGAAAGAATATTTTTCTGCATCACTAAAAAGTAATGTGTTCTTTTTACACAGAAAGCTTTTAAATTTCTAAAATGTAGACTATCTTAAATCACTAGGACTTCTATTAATCAGATCAGCAAAATTGCTAAAAACTAATAATGCTACATGAAATGTAATACACATCTTATTTAAAAAGCATTGCAGAACTTTTAAGGAATTAGCAAACAAAACATGAAGGGAAACTAGGAACTCGGAACTCAGGGCTAAGGAAGCAGAGAAGTCTCTTTTGTTTCAAGAGCAACAGCGTACGGGCTTGGGAGAGCCAGTTAAATTTTCAGATATTTTTCAAACTAAAACATAGCCTTTATTAAAAATAAAATTATACAGAAATACAAATAAATTATATTTAAAATAGTAAAATTAAAAACAAAGGTAATATTGAAAAGTCATCACTTCCTAGTTGTTTTCTAGGAAGTAAAATAATAGAAACATAAACCAGTGAGACTAACAGAAAATACAAAAAGAGGGTTGGGCGCGGTGGCTCACGCCTATAATTCCAGCACTTTGGGAGGCTGAGGTGGGCGACTCACAAGGTCAGGAGTTTGAGACCAGCCTGGTCAACACGGTGAAACCCCTGTCTCTACTAAAAATACAAAAATTAGCTGGGCGTGGTGGTGCACGCCTGTAATCCCAGCTACTCAGGAGGCTGAGGCAGGAGAATCACTTGAACCCAGGAGGCAGAGGTTGCAGTGAGCCGAGATCGCGCCACTGCACTCCAGCCTGGATGACAGAGCGAGACTCTCTCTCAAAAAAAAAAAAAAAAAAGAAAGTACAAAAAAAGATAGTAGATTTAAAACTGAATCGCCCAAAACTCCTCCTCTCCCTCAAAAAAATTAGGAAAGCCAAACCAAAATTTGTTAAAAATCTACAATAAAACTAGACAAAAAGATGAAAGATATCCTATGAACCCCAAATATAAGCTGATGTAAACAAGGTATTAACAGCTACAAGACCATCTGATATCAGCATCTGTGCAAGGGGATGCAACAGGAGAAGCCCAATGTTAACCAGTCCTCACAAGAAAATGCAGTAGGTAAATTTGAGAACACCAAGTGAACTATAAGAGTTTTTGTACAATCTGCATGTTGAGTGCAAGGAATCTACACTAAGATATGAAGGGGCCACGAGCAGTCTGGGCCCTATGACACAGTTAACCAGCTGTAGTTCCCTTTCCATTTAAAGCCCCACACTAAGGAAGAACTGCTGGGAATAAAATCCAAATTGAGTAGGATAGGGATAATAGAGCCAAAGGAAATAGAAGGTTCAGATTAATGGGGGTAAGTAAAGTTTCAGGAAATCTCACAGTGTCTGAGGTCATGTCTTTAAACACTTGAGAGAAACAACAAAATAGAGAGTTCTAGAGCTGTGAAGTTAGAAAACCTATCTTGACTCGTAACTCCTATGTAAAAGTTGGGGAAAACTAATTTCATATTAAAATGAGCAGTAGGAAAAGATCACAGTCAAATCCATGGAAACCTATTTGAAAAGTGAAAATAAGGATTAGCGTAATGTCTCCACAGTCAAGCTGTACCAGAAAGACATATAGTTTATGAAGCTAGTGTAAAATAAAATTAATATTTTGAAACAAAGAAAAATGATAGAGTATGTCGAAGAACAACATCAATAAGTTGATAGAACTCAGAAAATTAGTAGAAATAAAAACATTGTTTTAAAAACTAAATTTGACTAAAAGAGACATACTTCCTTAAACCAAGAAGGTGAAAAAGAAGAAAAATTTGTAAAGCAAAAATAGACCTTCTCTTTCTACAACTTGATCAATTTAGTCCTAAAGCCATTATGTAGAGGAGAGAAAAATAGTTTAATCTACACCTCACATCTGGAGAGGTTTAGGAGATTTTCGGTGGCCCATTGGACTTACCCATGAGGTTGGCTTCCATGCAGGGTAATGCCTTGGTTTCAGGAGTCAGAGCCTGAGGGCTGGTGAGGAAAGCACATATGGGAATGCTCAGAGCCCAGTCAGGGAAGTGGATGGCTGTTCAAATTCAGATTGACCAAATTAATATATATGTTAGGTTATTGTTATTCATAATTTTCACTGTTGAGAAGAGAGTTACAAATATGGAAGGGAAGAAAACTTAAACATGAATCCTGTAATACTGGATTAGAACTGAAGAAGTTGGTTTGAAGGGATGGTTTTCCATTGATACAGATGTAAACATAAATATCTACGTCAGTGTGTATGTATCTGTGTGTATGTTATTTTCCCTGGCTCTGCCCACTGAGAGGGCCTGAGCCTAGTGCCACCCCAAGAGCAGTGAGCACCTAGCATCCAGATCTTGCCTTGCAAATATTATTTCCCACTGAAATTACTAAGGCTTTTTTGACAAACGGCAGGTTCCCCAGGAGTCAGGCAAAGAAAATGCTAGATTGTTCTATAATATCCTTTGCCAGAAAACAAGCAAGTACTCAAGGAATGTTGGAGACATGTCAAATGGACCCAGAATCTAACTTCAAGGGACTCTCACTGGCCAAATCAGGAGCAATCTCAGCATTCAGTTGGTGATAATAATGGCAGATTATAACCCACTGAATAAAGTAGGAAATAATGAGTTTTTACTCATATAAATAAATGAATTAATTGAAAGTTTGATGAGAATGGAGAATTGTACACAGTTTCAGTAATTTATTTGCAAAAGGGAAAAGTAACTTTACAGTAGAGAAACCTGGCAGACACAACTTTTATCAAGCGATTAAAGTTAATAACATTGGTGATGGGACAAATCAAAATTGTGTACCACCTGATACAGATGTATTGGGTAGAACATAACATTTGTGATATTCCTGCCAAAGTTGGATAACTTCAATCTAATTGTGTGGGAACTTCAGGCAAACCCAAATTGAGAGAGATTCTACAAAACAATTGACTTGTAATCTCCAACAGTATTAAGGTCACAAAGTCAAGGAAACACCGAGAAACTGCTGTGACTCAAAGATCTAAAAAGACGTGACAACTAAATGCAACAAATGACTTTGAAATGGATCCTTTTGCTGTAAAGAACATTACTGGTGACTCTTCATAGGGATCCGAGCATTAGATGGTAGTAATGTATTAATGTTACTTTTGATGGTTTTGTAGTTATATAGGAAAATATCTGTAGGAAATACACACTGAAGTATTCAGGGATGATGAGACATCAAGAAGGCAAATTGCTGTCAAATGGTTCAGGAAAAACAGTTTGTGATTGCTCTAGTCTTTAAAAAAAATTAGTAAGAAGAAACAAAAGATTTGAAAGTGACAGGTATAGAAGGTAGGTAAAGAATATTCAACATGCATGTAATAGGAGTCTCCTAGGAAGAAATCCAAAACAATGCTAGAAAATGCATAGACAAGAAATCTTTTCTAAAATTAAAAAAGTTATTTCAAACTACACTTCAAAATGCCATAATAAAATGATTAGGATTTAAAGGAAAAAAATATCTGGAATTCCACTTCCCTCCCCCAGCAGAAAAAGAAAGAAAATTCCGTTGTTCTCAGTTTATAGAAGACAATGGAGTGAACATACTCAATAAAGGAAGAAGCTGAATCAAACAGACTTTCACATATAAAAACTGGAATCAAATATATCAACAAATAGAGTGATAGTGTTCGTATAAACACTTCCTGGGGTGAGAGAACAACCTGCAGACATCCAAAATGATAGGAGGAGAGATACTGACATAAGGACTGGTGTTAGCATTAATGAAGAAGATTATAAGGAAGAGAGTATATAACATGAAAAAGCTATATGCTCTGACAATTTTGATAAGGTACAATTATTAGAAAATGGGGACAGAATTTGAGGATAATATGAAAACAGAATAAGCCTCCTAATTGCTTTAAAGTTTTTAACTGGATATAAAAGGATAGTATTTCCAATCCAATCTGGGAAGATTGCTTGTAGGAGGAGACCAAAAGACAAAAGCCAAACAAAAGTTTGCCATTAGAACAAAAGGACAAGCGTGTCTGAATTGTTACACACACACTTAAAAGAACAAACCATATAGTGAGACTGTGCTCCAGTTACTGTTGCTTCATGAGATACTACCCCAAGCTTAATAGGTTAAAACAGCCTTTTAATAGGTTTTGTAGGTTAGGAATTCAGGCAGGATTCTGGCCAGATGGTTCTTGTTTTCCTTCTGGCATCAACTGAGGTCACTTAGTGGGACTTAGGTGGCAAATGAGCTGCTTTGGAGGGCCCAGTTTGGCTTTGCTCTCCTTGTCTTATGTGTTGGTGGTACTGGCTAGAAGTTTGGGCTCAGAGCACCATCATGTGACCTCTGCAGTATGGTGGTTTTAGAACAGTCTTGTTACATGGTATCTGGCTTCCACTGAACAAGCATTACAGAAGAACCAGGCAAAAGCTTCATGGCCTCTTCTAATCTGACCTTGAAAGTCATACGGGATTACTTTCACATTTTTTGGCATACAAATGACCCAAAGCACTAGCCCAGATTCCAGGAGAGGGGAATTAGATTCCACCTGTCGATGGGGAAATTGCAAGGTCACAGTGTACAAGAGCATGTGGGATGCAGGCATCTTTGGAAAATATAATCTGCCACTGGTTTATTTATGTTAAAAGCTTGAATAAATAAGACAGGATGGTAAGAACAGAACTGAGAACAATTTCAGTTATATCAAAAGTTAATTCATAAAAGCAGACAATTTTCAGGCTTGCTAATGAAGCAGAATTTAACCCTGTGCAGTACATAAGAGTCATACCTACCACAAAGAAGTAAAGGTTAAAAATAAAGGACTGCATATTGCTGTAAAAAAAAAAAAAAGCGTGGATGACATCTTTCTATATTGTGCAGTGATCTTCTGGATATACTTACTATTAAGTGAAAAAAGCAAAGCAGGGAAATGTGTATTCTACTGTTTAAGAAAGAAGAGAAATGTTGGCTGGGCACAGTGGGTAATCCCAGCACTTTGGGAGGCCGAGGCAGGCGGATTACGAGGTCAAGAGATTGAGACCATCCTGGCCAACATGGTGAAACCCCGTCTCTATTAAAAATGCAAAAATTAGCTGGGCATGTTAGCGCATGTCTATAGTCCCAGCTCCTTGGGAGGCTGAAGCAGGAGAATCGCTTGAAGCCAGAAGGCGGAGGTTGCAGTGAGCCAAGATCGCGCCACTGCACTCCAGCCTGGTGACAGAGTGAAACTCCGTCTGAAAAAACAAAAAGAAAAGAAATGTATTATGCTTGTGATGTTTGTGTGTATATATACACACATATATACAGATATAAAAATATGGAATAAATGTAAATGTATTTGCGTGTTTGTGGGTATCTTTATATTGTTTAAATGTTGACATATAAGGATCAGGACAGAATAGGATGAGAAAAAGGGATAGAAGCTGGACTTTTAAATACCTGTGTTTTATAGATTTGACTGTGGAGTTATTTTACCTACTTATAAAATCAATGAAAAATTTTAAAGGCAAATTGAAGTTGAAAATAAAGTACAAATGAATCTAAATGTGTATCCACTTGGCAACAGTAATACTCAGGAAGGAACTATTCCAAGTGATTTTAAAATGGTAATTGGCCAGGTACAGTGGCTCACACTTGTGATCCCAGAGCTGTGAGAGGCCAAAGCGAGAGGACTGCTTGAGGCCAGGAGTTCAAGAACAGCCTGGGCAACACAGCAAGATGCCATCTCTACCAAAAATAATTTTTTAAAAATTAGCCAAGCATGTTGGTGCACACGATGGTCTCACCTACTCGGAAGGCTGAGGCAGGATTGCTTGAGCCCAGGAGCTCAAGCCTGCAGTGAACTATGCTTGTGCCACTGTAGTCCAGCCTGGGCAACAGGGCAGGACCCTGTCTCTAAAAATAAAAAAAGAAAACAATAATTCAACCATACATCTCTAGCTATAGCCTAAGGATTAAAAGCTACAGGAAATAGTTAACTGTTTACAGTAATCATATCATGGTAGTAGTGTTGGTGGTCTAATTCACTGTTGTAATATTGGATAAAACAAGTAAGTCATTATGCCGGTACTTTTATTCTGCTATCTCCACTATCTTGAGAACCAGAATTACTCATATCCAAGAAAGCAGATACAACGCTAAAATAGGAGAGCTTAAGTAAAAACCCAGTGGTCCTAATTTTTCATTAGAAAAACCAGTATAAACTCATGATATATTTTTATGATCTCCATTCATCAGTCTATAGTTTAGCTGTTTCTACACATACCAAAGACAACTTGCCATGGATTGATATTTATTTAATTATGATGGATACATTCTACTATTAAGGCTATTTATGTTTTTATTTTAAGTGTTTTGTTGTAATTTTGAAAGGATAGTAAAATATTTTATTATTAATGTGGAATTTTAAATGTTTCTAAGCTTTTTGATGAATTGTTGCTTCAGTTGAGCTTATTATCCGTAAAACAAAGTTGATGATTATGGTGAAAGAAAGAGTAACTCAACAATAATCATGCTTACTCTTACTCTGTCATCTTAACCTACACAAAATCCCAGAGAAGTTATTTGCTGTAAGACAGGCTTTATAAGAAACTCAGATTTGAAATGACCTAGTTGTCTGCAATTTGTTATAAATAGAGGGGAAAAAAGATATGTGTTTATAACCATGTAACTGCAATATTTTTGAAAAGGTGCTTAAACTTTTGTCATTAATAGATTTAGTAGTTTTTAATATGTAGCTTTAAATTGTCCATTTTCAAAATCATATTTTTGTATAAAAAATATTTTAAATAAAAATATTCACAAATATTACTTCAGATTGCTTTTGTGTCTTGAATTTTGATAATTTATAAATTATAAAATCAGTTAAAATAAATTTTGTTTATCACTTGTTTAAGGCATATTTTTCCCTTTAATGTTGACCCTGCACAAGTTCCATATTGAAGTATGTAAAATGAACTGATTGTCTCAAGGGGAAAAAGTCAATAATCAAAGCATCTAGTGTATTAATTATTATTATAGGTTTCTTCCTTAATATAAAAATTAGAATAAATCCTGATTTTTAAAATTTACACTTAAATTCAACAGTAATATAAGATTACTGCTGTCTGATGCATGGAAATTGTCATTTAATTGACTAAATGTGGTATAAACTTTAAAAGAGCATGTAGAAAAATTCTAACTCAGCCAATTCTAATTTATGGTACATTTAGGTTATTAATAATTTTTTTTTGAAATTTATGTGTTGGGCAAAATCTTTCGCATATTACTATTTTAAGGTTCTAACCACATTTAATCAATTATAGGACAGTTTACATATTTAATACGTTATCTTCAAATAACTTATTTTTTGAAAATATATCAATTTATTTCTCTTTTTCTTCCATCAGAATACAGTCGTTTTGAAGCTAAAATACATGATTTACGGGAGCAGATGATGAATAGTAGTATTAGTTCAGGGTCAGGTTCTCTTCGAACTAGCCAGAAGCGATCCCTCTATGTCAGGTAAATTTTTTTACTTCTAATTATGGCAAATCTTAATTAGTTATGCATGTAAATTATTTTGTATTTTTCACTATAACTTACTTAGTTTTACCGTAAGAAAATATATTGCCAATCAGTGTTGTTTTTTATTATTGATTCTCTCTGACAGTGTGCCTTTCAAGAATTGGAATATTATTGTATTAATAATTTTATTAATGAAAGTTATGTAATCCTTGAATAATGATGATATAATAAAGGAAGAAATTTCTGTGGACCAGAAATTGTTTTCAGATTGATGTGTTAGTAGTGACTACAAGCTTGATGATATCATGTCTAACACTTAGATTTAACCTCTGTCCTTTTCTAATATATTTTCCATTCAAGTAACATTTAATTACCTGGCAATTTCCATAGTAGCAAAGGAGGCATATGTAAATAATAATTTAAAATGTGAATAGCCTCGGTAAATAATGCATATTTGGAAAATTTCTACATGCATTTTTTAAACACTTGGGAGAAGGCAAATATGTTATTTTCCTATAATATATAAAGGTTAAGTGGCAACATAGGTCTAATAAATAGGTGATATTAGTATATAAACTGGGGTGTTTCTTTTTTTTTTTTTCATTTCGTTGGCTTATAAGACTTAAAACAGAAATCCGAATGTATTTGTATTCTGTATACTTTTAGTAGAACTTTAACTGATAACTTTATTATACTGTTACTGTAACATTAGCACTGTAAGTAATCTGAACCATTCTTTATAAATTATCATCTCAGTCGTCCTGATTCTGTTGGGGGACCTGTTCCTAATACGTTTCATTTATCCTTCTGATGAGAGAGATATGTTACATATATAAACATGTATCCTATACACGTGTATCTATACACACAAACAGGTACTCTGTACTTGTTTACATATGATATGACTTACTGTCTTCACATAATCTTACTCTGATACATCATGAAAGCAAACCTTTCTCACTTTCTTCTTTCTGTTCCTTTTGTCTTTTGCTGTACTTGGTACTTATAACCCTACCAGTGATGTGGGAATCTTAAATGCATCAGATTTTTTTTTCCCTTCGCCAATTCTAGCAGTACTCATTAAACTCTTGTGTTCCAAAGTCATTAAAAGTATTTTATATATACAAATATATCGAAGAAGGAAGAACATGGATTTTTCTACTCTCTTTTTTACACTTTCTTTTTTTTTGCTTATCTACATTTCCTAATTTTAGTATAATTAATAGGTGTTGCCTTTTATTTGTACTTGATTAAATATTTACAAAGGCATAAAAATCAGAACATAATAGGTTATATTTATTTTCGGTACATTTAGTGAATCTTCACTTGTTATTTTTAGAGAAGTAATGCTCTATTTTCTTTCTGTTTTTTTTTTTTTTTTAAAGACAGGGTCTCACTTTGTCACCCAGGCTGAAGTGCAGTGGCGCGATCTCAGCTCACTGTAGCCTCAACCTCCCGGGTTCAAGGGATCCTTCCGCCTCAGCCCCCCAAGTAGCTGGGACTGTAGGCACATGCCACCATGCCTGGCTAATTTTTGTGTTTTTAGTAGAGATGGGGTTTCACCATGTTTGCCAGGCTGGTCTCGATCTCCTGACTTCATGGGCCTCACCCACCTTGGCCTCCCAAGTGCTGGCATTACAGGCATGAGCCACTGTGCCCAGCTTCTATTTTTTAAAACCATATATTATCTAAAGACTTATAATGAAAAACAACTGTCACCGGCACCAGCCCCTAGTTTCATTCTCCAGAAACAAGCATCCTCCATTTTCCTAGCAAACTTCCTTCACCTCCTTATTTCTAAATATGAAGCCTTCGCCTCTATATTTCTAAATAACATGCATATACTGCTATCTTCTACTTTACCAGTTTTGCGCATTAGTCTTACAACCATGGTAGATGAGAACGTTTCTGTGTAGAACCAAACCACTCATTCAGTCTCATCACCATCACCCAAACATAGCCTATCTCTGTTAATAAAACTAATAGCATTTACAGTCATGTGACTATGCAATAGCTGTCATGACTCAGTCGAGTGGTACCCTATGAGCTGCCTCCTTTCTTCTGCAGCCCTTCATTTTTCCTGGACTTAATAATTGTCTTGCATTTTATTTGATTTTTCATATTCTTACTACTAAATATCTTTCTGTATCTTCCAGTAACCACTGTAGAGTTTTTCACATGATGAAAACATATGGTCACACATACGGTCTGATAGTTCAGGTTTTTTCTATCTTTATGCTCCAGTCTAGACTAGTTCCTCTGTAAACGTGCTGTATAGCTCTCAGCTGGGACTTCCCTTTTGCCATTATTCTATTTCCTTTGGCTGTCTACTATGTCACATGTTTCCTAGATGCCACATTTTCTTCTTTCTCAATTAATCTTCCTAGAGCACATCCTCCAGTAAATTCCTGCGAAAAGGTGTGTGGGAGGCACCCTTTGAGGCTTAGCATGTCTGAAATGACTTTGTTTTGCCTTCTCCCCAGTAGAGAATTTGGAATGTGGGGGAGGGAATGATACCCTGTTTTATTTTGCAGGAGCTCCCTCATCTTCCATTTCTTTTGTGGACATGATCTGGTGTGTCTCTGAGATTTTCTTCTGCTTTTTTGTATTCTTTGCTTTCTCTGTATTCCTTTTTTCTAGCTATCCTATTTTCTTGGAGGTTTTTTCTTTAGTGTTTTATATAAGGCATTCTTTAAATATCCAGTGTTCCTTTCATTGTTTTCCACTCTTAGGAATAGAGAAATGAAGATAATGGATTTAACTAGAAGACAGTGGGGTAAAGGGGGGGATAAATTGGCTCTTAAATTTTCTCTCCTGTCCCACGTCATTCTGTTCTTTTCTATAATTAAATATCCTTAGAGAAGAATCCCTGTCTCCTGCCAATAGTATAAACCAAGTTGCTAGAATTTTATTTTCATCCATTTCAGTCCAACCACCTTCCCCTTCTCCACCAAGTTTCAGAGTATACAGCTCCTCAAATTCAATTTCTCTGGAGACTAAACCACTGGTCTTCTGTGGGTTTGGGGACTGGGAAAAGGAACTTTGGTGGGGTTGGTCTAAGTGCTACATACAGTGTTTCTACCTTCTGTTTTTAGTACAGTAACTTATCCCTGCCTACCTTGGTACTACTGTACACTTCTAATTTATGACCATCTCCAGGATTCTTATGGAATAAAACTTGTTTCTATAACCCTCTCTGCTGCCACTCCATTTATAGCTTCTTTCATTCTGCTAAATTTAATTAGCATCATCCAGAAATGTGTTAAAATCTCTCTTCCCCTGTTGTCTTCTCTCTTTTGTATTTTTCGTATTTTATTGTCATTTTAATGAGTCAGGGTGGAGAAGAAATAGACACAGTGTGCTATAGTTAATCAGAAGCCTCATGGTTCTTTTTGAGATGGGGTCTTGCCCTGTTGGCTAAGCTTGTCTTGGACTCCTGGGCTCAAGGGATCCTCACACCTTAACATCCCAAGTAGCTGGGACTACAGGCACACACCACCACCACCACCACACCTGAGTCTTGTGGGGTTTTTTTTAGTCAATGTATTTCTAATTTCAAAAGCCAAAAAAAAAAAAGGCTGCAAAAAACTACCTACAGAATACCTCTTTATAAAGCTCTGAAACAAGCAAAAACATACATTATATCTTTTAGTCACTCACATATTATATGATAAAACCAAACCAACCAAAAAAGAATGAGTCAAAGAAATAAACATTAAGAATGATAGTTACATTCTAATAGTGGTTAACTCTTGATCCAAGGGAATCAGGATCAGAGGGAATATACGCAGGTGAATGTGAATTACTGATGAAGGTTTTGTGTGTAGTCTTGGGTTGGGTAGTAGGTGAACAGATGTTCATTGCACTCTTACGATTAATAACTCACATGTATTCCATGGGTTTCTTTTTTTATGAATCAAATATATTAAAAGAGAATGTTAAAATGCTAACGTAAGTAGAGATTGTGGGTGATTTCCTTTGTTGTTCAATAATACTGTTACATTTTGTGATTCAAAAGATGAATTTTTATAATAATGTAAGAAGTTAGTATTTTCCTTTTCTGAATGTCTTGACATTTGTACTACCTCTTAAGGTACTTTATTTTCTATTTTATATTATGCTTATTTGTGCCCTCATCTTCTCTATGTTTGAATGTATGTTTAAGTGAGCCCTCCTGCTTAACGATCCCCCCTGCTTCCCTAGCACCTTTAGCCCCACGAAAAGACTTGAAAGAACTCATTTGAAAAACCATTAACTACTAGTTTATTTATTTAGCCATCAAGTAATTCCACCCCTCTTGAGTTTTACTTGAAGAGCTAGGTTCTTAAATGTTGGGTAGTGTGAAAAAGATTACGATTTTCATCCTAATTTCCAGTTGCCAAATTAGAACAAAAGAATGAATAAATTATATTATAAATGTAATTGCTGTGATCCTTTCTTACACTCTTGAGAGAGCTTATTTGGACTTAAGAATTTGATTTATTTTAATGTTGTACATTAATTAATCAAGTGGTAGCACACAATATTTTCTTTTTATCAAATTTTAAAATATTCTTAACACTTTGCAATTACCGTATTAAATTATTACTTTCTCCAAAATATTTGGCAGCTGTTAAAGTCATCTGTAATTAGTGTCCATCATTGTTACTGACTCTGAAAACTCTATCAACTCTAGTATTGTGAACAAATGGAAGGAATAATTAATGGACAGAATAGTCACTATGTTGATCTAGTCGTACAGTCCACAACTAATAAATCAAATATATCAGGGAATTTGTTTTCCTACATGTATCTAATCAAAGTAAAGAGAAGAATGTATCTTAATACTTTTTGTTTATTAATTTCAAACTCTCTGGATTTGTCTATTTTAGAATTCAATATAACTTACCATTGGATTACAATCCAAGAGCGTTTTTAAAATTTGTCTTGTGATATTGAAAGAAACAAATAATACAATACAGTATTTTCATAGCAAGTTGATTTTGCTATTTCTTTTTTGTCTTATCTTGTATGCAGTGCAGAATTGAACTGGGCATTATTTGGCCTACTATGATATATTTAATTACCCAAATTACATATACTTTCAGAACCCTATGATATGTTGATTAATATTATAACAAGTGATTATGGACTTTTTTTCTTCTGACTCTAGAGCCCTTTTTGATTATGACAAGACTAAAGACAGTGGGCTTCCCAGTCAGGGACTGAACTTCAAATTTGGAGATATCCTCCATGTTATTAATGCTTCTGATGATGAATGGTGGCAAGCCAGGCAGGTTACACCAGATGGTGAGAGCGATGAGGTCGGAGTGATTCCCAGTAAACGCAGGTATGCCTGTTTCTTACCACTTGAATGTGAGGCAACATAAATAATTGATGTTCTTTTAAATTTTTTTTAATTTGTGACAACATGGATGGACCTGGAGTGCATTATTCTAATTGAAAAAAGCCAGACACAGAAAGACAAAAATCGTATGATCACATTTTTATGTGAAATCTAAAGTAGTCGAAGTCATACAGAGAAGAATGGTGGTTACCAGGGGTTAGGAGGATGGGGAAATGAGATACAAAGTTTCCGTGACACAAGATGAGTGAGTTCTGCACCTCCAACATGTAAGCATGGCAACTACAGGTAATAGTACTGTACTTGAAATTTGTTAAGAGGGTCGGTCCTAAGTGTTCTTACCCCCCAAAAAAAGGCAACCAGGTGAGGTAATGGATATGTTAATTAGGTTGACTGTAGTAATTATTTCACAGTATGTATATATATAATATATATATATAAAATCATTAAGTTGTACAACTTAAATATATACAATTAGGCTGGGCACGGTGGCTCATTCCTGTAATCCCAGCACTTTTGGGAGGCTGAGGCGGGTGGATCACTTGAGGTCAGGAGTTCAAGACGAGCCTGGCCAACGTGGTGAAAGCCTGTCTCTACTAAAAATACAAAAATTACCTGGGCATGGAGGCACACGCCTGTAGTCCCAGCTGCTCGGGAGGCTTAGGCAGGAGAATTGCTTGAACTCAGGAGGCCGAAATTGCAGTGACCTGAGTTTGCACCACTGCACTCCAGCCTGGGAGACAGAGCAAAACTCTGTCTAAATATCTATATCTATATCTATATCTATCTATATATATAAAATATACACATAAAAAAATTAAAAATAATCACCAGAACTGAAAAAATAAATTTATTTTACTAAAATGATTTTATGCTCAGTTTTTTATATTGTGTTTCACAGCCATTTGATTTTATTCAAATGGAATTGTAACCAGTGACATAACTAGAAAATATGGGCCAGGTGCAGTGGCTCACACCTGTAATCCCAGCACTTTAGGAGGCCGAGGTGGGCGGATCACGAGGTCAGGAGTTTGAGACCAGCCTGGCCAGTATGGTGAAACCCCGTCTCTACTAAAAATACAAACATTAGCTGGGTGTGGTGGCGGGCGCCTGTAATCGCAGCTACTTGGGAGGCTGAGGCAGGAGAATTGCTTGAACCCAGGAGGTGGAGGTTGCAGTGAGCTGAAATTGCACCACTGCACTCCAGCCTCGGCGACAGAGCAAGACTCTGACTCAAAAAAAAAAAAACAACAAAAAGTGATGCCTCCAAGCAGAAATTGATCTAAAGCTACTAGTTACTGAAAACAAAGTAAGTATATATTAAATCAGTGTGCCATTTAGCTATACCAGTGAAGAGAAAACTGAAAGTGTCTGTGGTTGGTGTAGGTAAGTAAGAGGACTTAAATTTTGTATTTTTGGTGGCATGAATTTCTTCCTTCATGCCAAAATGTTTGGAAATATCTGGTAATACGCTTCACTTCTCTTTTTCCTTGCTTAAATTACATGTATTGGTGCAGTTCACTGGTCTTTTCTCTTTGCTTTTAATGATTATATATAGGTAGATAGGTAGGTAGGTAGATTGATTTTTTTAAGAGACAAGGTCTTGCTCTGTCGCCCACGCTGGAGTGCAGTGACATGATCATAGCCCACTGAACCTCAGACTCCTGGGCTCAAGCTATCCCCCCACCTCAGCTAGTAGCTGGGACTCCAGGCGCGTGTCACTGCACCCGGCTAAGTTTTTTGTTTTTGTTTTTGTTTTTGTTTTTGTTTGTGGAGATGGGTTCTAGCTATGTTGCCCAGGCAAGTCTTAAACTCTTGGCTTCAAGCGATTTTCTCACCCCAGCCTCCCACAGCTCTGGGATGACAGCTGTGAGCCACTGCAGCCAGCCCTAATGATTCATTTTAGTGATTCATGGGTGTATACTTAGCACATAGCAAAAGTAGTTAAGGACAGGCCCTCTTTGCAAAGGATGGTCCCAGCTTAGAGGACCTCTTCTAAGGCCTGTGAAGTGCTGTTGAGTGTCTCTGCTTTTGTGGGGAAGGTGTTAAAATGTCATTTCAGAATTCCCCTGAGATAGCTTATTTATGAGATCTGCTTCATCCAAATCATTGTCTGGAAGTTCTTCTTTAAGAGCTTTTTAAAGTAGTAGTAGTAAGATAGCCAGCAAAAATAGTTAATGAGATCATAAAGAAATGTTTATTATAACTAGTTAATTCATTTTAAGTCGATTATGCTGTAATAAACATCTTTTTCTTATTAGTTGAATTTATACCTATTTCGTAACTATTTCTAGACCTTTATTTATTTACCTGTTTGTAGAAGTTGAAAAGTAATATTATTAAATTATAATCAAGATTTATAATTATGATTTTCGGGCTTATAACTGCTGTTGGCTGTATCCATATATTTAGCATGATCCAACTATTTGGCTAGATCTTTCAGTTGATGACAAATCCTCTTTTAGCAATGCAGCAATCAGCATAACTTTTTTCCAGAAATAGAACATAGTCTGCTTTAAATTCGGAAATGCTTCCTCTATGCCTTGTTGAGTCAGTAGAAACCTTACATCTTAAATATCAAGGTCAGAGCTCCTAAAAATTGTCTTGGTTCTTGGAGTCTCATACCTTACAAAGGCTTTCTGTGCCTACACCCAATAATAAACACTGTTGGCTTCACTGGAGAGATTTTTTTTTCATTTTGTACAAAAATTCTATAAGATTGTGTTTTAAAGCAAGCAATAATGTAAGAAAGATATCTTGAGACCTCTGCCAATTTCCACATTCATGAGTAGCATTGCAGAATATAATCTTACTCCCGTAAAATACAGTAAGAAACCACAACTAATTATGCCATTTCGTTCTTGAATGTATTCAAAACTTACCTTTTCTTAAATAGAACTATCTCTTTCTTAGACCTCTTCTAAAATAACATAGGAATTGTAATTCCTACAATTCTTGGCTTTCAGGAATAATATTTACAAATATAGACAATTTAAGTTGCTGAATTATGTACTAAACAAAATAATGATTAGAAAACAAAGTTGAGTTGTAAATGCTCACCCACTAAATGCTAGTTTTGTGGTGCTGTTGATAAGTACCTAGGCAAGATTATAAATTATTCAGGTCATGGAGCCTCAGAATTGTTCTTGAATCGTAAAAATCATGAGTTTTAATTTTTTTTTTTGTTTGGGGTGGGGGACGGAGTCTTGCTCTTTCACCCAGGATAGAGTGCAGTGGCATGATCTTGGTTCACTGCAACCTCCACTTCCTGGATTCAAGCGATTCTCCTGCCTCAGCCTCCCAAGTAGCTGGGATTACAGGCACCCGCCACTGCGCCCAGCTAATTTTTATATTTTTAGTAGAGACAGGGTTTCACCATGTTGGCCAGACTGGTCTTGAACTCCTGACCTTGTGATCCACCCGCCTCGGCCTCCCAAAGTGCTGGGATTACAGGCGTGAGCCACTGCGCCAAGACTTAAATTTAAAATTTAAATTCATGAATGCTAAGGTCCTGCTGTACCCATAGTAAAACTAAATAGATAATAAGGAAAAAATAAAATTCATTTATTCATAGTCTTGTTTTGGTAGGCTTTTCTGTTATATGCTAACATAATTGCTATGTCGAAATTGGAGAATTTATGAAAGCTTAATTTACATGACATTTTGCAAGATTTACATTAGTGTTACAATCTACATAAAAACTTGTTTCATTGTAGTTTTATTTGCTTGCTTATTTTGAGTAGGTAAAGTTCAGAATTTAAAAGATGTGAAGGCTTTACAGGCTGTCTCTCACAACACCCATTTCACCTCCATAGGGGTAAAGATTAACAGTTCTTATGTATCCTTCCAAAAATACTTTAAAACTCTTACTTCAATAACTGTAACTGGTTATTTATATATTTACACACACACACACATATATCATTAAAATTAGGCTTAATTTTTAAATATTCCACCTTTTTGTTAAAAGTTTCAGAGCTATAGAAAAGTAAGTACAAAAACGGCAATATACAGTGAACGTCCACATATCCTTCTCCCACTTTCACCAGTTTTTAACATTTTGCCACATTTGCTTTCTCTAGCTTAATTTTTAGCATATGTGCTTCATGCTAAGCTAATACTTAAAAACAAACAAAACTTGGAAAACTGTTAAACTCAGAAATGGTGCCTCATACTTTCATATAATTTTGTAACTAAATATACATATAAAAATATACACATATATACTGTGTGTTGATAACTTCATAGCATCAGGTTTTGTTTCATAATAAAATGAGCCCTTTATTTCATTTTTCAGCAATTCTAATTTGGGGATGCAAACCTAGATGACTCTTAAAGGTTTTAGAGTATAAAAATGCCCATTATAAAGATAACAATTCTGGTTATTTCTAGTAAGACCCCAGATATGTTTGGTTTACTTAAAAAATAACATTCTATACTTTGACAGAGTTGAGAAGAAAGAACGAGCCCGATTAAAAACAGTGAAATTCAATTCTAAAACGAGAGATAAAGGGGTGAGTATTTGAAATCTCTACATTTTTGTAATTCCTGTTTGAGCTACATTGTTAAAATGAAAAGGATTTTGCTATCAGAATTATTCATGATCAGTTCTTGCCATGGTGCTTTACAATGGTAGATACTTAAGCATTTGTTAAATTCAAGCACCCATTTCACAGACCCTTCCAAATTATCAAAACTATCATTTGATATATTATTAGCAACATACTTTTGGGTCAAGCTTATTTTTATAAATGAAATGTATTTGACCTTCATTCGATTTCCAATTAGAAATTTGTGTTACTAGGCCGGGCATGGTGGCTCACGCCTGTAATCCCAGCACTTTGGGAGGCCAAGTCAGGCAGATCACCTGAGGTTAGGAGTTAGAGACCGGCCTGGCCAACATGGCGAAACCCCGTCTCTACCAAAAATATAAAAGTTAGCCAGGCATGGTGGCGGGCATTTGTAATCCCAGCTACTCGGGAGGCTGAGGCACAAGAATCACTTGAACCTGGTAGGCGGAGGTTGCATTGAGCCCAGATCGCACCTCTGTGCTCCAGACTGGGCAACAGAGCGAGACCCAATCTCTTAAAAAAAAAAAAAAAAAAAAAAAGGTAAAAAATTAGCCAGGCGTGATGGCTTGCACCTGTAGTCCCAGCTGCTCCAGTGGCTAAAGTGAAAGGATTGCTTAAGCCCAGGAGGTCCAGGCAGTAGTGAGCCATGATCATGCCACTGCTCTCCAGCCTGGGTGACAGAGTGAGACCCTGTCTCAAAAAAAAAAAAAAAAAAAAAAAAAAAAAGGAAATATATCAATTCTTTCATCATATATTTTAGAAGTGTATTTATTTTTCCTTCACTTTAAGTCCTTCTGCTTGCATCTAAATACTTGGGCTGTCGATAGATGAGAAAGATGGTACAGGCTTCATCCCGTATTGGTGGATGTAATTCTTAATAATCCTGAACTCACTGCAGTGGAATATTCTAGCAGTAAGCCTGGAGAACAAACTGAATACATGTTATGTTAAATACCATTTATAGCAATGTTTTATGTTTGGGGTTTTTTTTAATACTAAACAAAATTTTTATAAGTCTTCTGATAATATTTGAAATGAATGTGGAATGTTAACTCAGCAAATAAATTTACTCTGTACATCTCTGGTATCACTAAGCACTCAGACTTAAAGCTTTAAAATTTAAAAGATGAGAAATATCTTTGGTTCAAGAAGTTAAATCTGAGAAAATTATGTGTTACATTCCATTTTTTAGAAATGATAAATTCCTTTAAAATTGTAGCTTTCAGAAAAATTCCAAATTATATAGTGTGATCTGAAGCAATATTAAAATAGAAATTTGTATTAGAGGAAAAATCCCAGGTAAATGCTCAGGATTTGAAAAATGTGAATTTTTTAATGCTTGTTTTATGTATATCTTTAAAAATGATTTAGTACAATATACCATCAATAAATTGAAAAAGAGGTTGCATGTTGTAACTTTCCTTTCATACTGTAAGAAGTTAACTGAATTAACGACGTGTTTAAATCTTAGTCTTGTTTGTTGACTGTAACCAACTTTATACAGAGTCACTGTGTTCTAACACAGCACCAAAACTATGCATGATACTGAGTGGGGTGAAAATACGCTTGCCATTGATCAGAACTGCATTTCTTTCTATAGTACCATTTCCTACTTCTCCTCCTTTCCTTACATAGTGATTATGGACTTTATTTTTACTACAGACTTACAACATTTTAGTTTCTCATTAACATGTCTAACATTCATTTGGCTATTTTGAAATACATGTGGAAATTATGTATTTAGATATTTAATATATGTATCATGAATTTATGATATTTTATCAATTCTTACACTGTCTCTCTTGCGATATAGCATTAATGACAGTAAGTATTAAATGTAGTACTTCTGATTGAAAATACAGAGAAACTGGAGGTAGCAAGTCTTCAGTTTTGTGTTTTCCCTACACATTTTTGTCTTGGTTGCTTGTGCTATTTTTTTCACTTTTAATAAGTTCTTCACCTGGAGGATATTAAATGTGATACAACTAATACTTTCTTAACTAACAAGCATTTCTCTCTGTCCTATATTATGATATCTTTATGATATCTCATTTTGGCTAACTGCAAAGATAATAAGAATCAGACATTTTAAACTTCATGTTTCTTTTGGTTGTTTGCTGTGAAACTGACTCTGACCACTATAGATGCAGTAAGAGGGATGAATAAACTTTTATAAAAAACACATCAGTTGTATCAGATATAAAAATTATTGCTAAATTCAAAACCATTGATTCTTATGAACGAAAAGATTTAGTTTTTCCCTAAATTAGATTACCATAATTTTTTTCACTAAAACACTTTCTCGTCTATCTCCTTTCTAAAATTTGGATTTGAACAAAGATTTTTATTCAAATAATGCTACTTGACAGTTTATAAAATAGTTATAAGCCCAGATTTCTCCATAATACTTTTTCTGTCCATTGAATTTTTAACTTCTACTTAGAGTTCTCTTTTATCTAGTTCCTCAGAGCCTTCAAACTTTAAGATTGAAATCAAGACAGTCTGCTTGGCTAATGAACTGTGAACTTATTAATCCTGAATTAATTATATGAAAAGGTAAAAATGAAAGTTTAACCTTGTTTTTATAAAGATCTTTATCAAAATAAGTCTTCTCAAGTCATAGAATTTGAGCTAAAAGTCACTTTAATCTACTTCACTTTTTTTTTTTTTTAATTTAAAGAAAAGGTCTCACTCTATCACCCAGGTTGGAATGCAATGGTATGATCATAGCTAATCATTGCAGCCTCAAACTCCTGGGTTCAAGTGATTCTCCTGCCTCAGCCTCCCAAGTAGCTGAGACTACAGTCGCACACCACTGCTCCCAGCTAATTTTTTTTTTTTTTTTTTTGAGATGGGGTTTCGCCATGTTGCCTAGGCTGATTTTGAACTCCTGGCCTCAAGCGATCCTCCTGCCTCAGCCTACCAAAGGGCTGGGGTTACAGATGTGAGCCACCACACCTGGCTGCTTCACCTTAATTACCTGGCATCACATGCTTAAAATAAGGGCATGCCAAAAACACACTGTTCTTGTCAATATACTTCAAAATAATGAATAATACAGCATCTTAAGATGTGTATAAACTCATAAAAATCAGAACAAAAAAATCTATTCTTTATATTTTTCCCTTCCCCCTCCAAAAAATAATAATTCTTAGTGTCACTGGTAGGTAAGCCCGTTTCCTTCAAAACATGAATGCCTATGACAGAGAAATGACAAAAGAAGCTATTTCTGTTTAATAGCCTCATCGTTCTTGTGCTACATGCTCTTAAATCTATGAATGCACAAATGAGACATTCAAGGAAAAACTTGTTTCCAACATGTGCAATAAGAGACATCAAATCAACTGCTCAACTCCACGTTACAATTATGTATAAACTGTTAGAATCTTAATTGCCTTGTGGCTTTGGTGGACACCAAACTTTTTATTCCCTATGAAGGACGTGGTGCCAATGATTGGATGTGGTTCTACATTATTTATGTGTACTTTTTTTTAATAAGTAGAGTAGAACTTAAGAATAAATAAGTCAGTACTGATAGCATTCACGTTGGTCAGGAGACTTCAGTACTGAAGCATTCACGTTGGTCAGGAGACTTCTGACTCTTCTTGCTTGGCTAAGAGATGGCATTGATAAGTCTCTTGCTGGACTCTGTGTGCTTGATGGACCTTTTAGTTTTCTTCCCATTTTCTGGCTCATAAGCATTTAGTTACCTTTTATCCTCTTCCAAGAATATGTATATGTGTATATATAAATATATATATATTTGTTTTTTAAATATTCAGCATTAGCAACTTTCTCATAATCATTTTGGTTTACTTTTTAAATAATGACTTTTCTGTTAGCTCATCGTAGCCACAAAAAAAGAGATAAAGGAATAACTGTGGTCAGGCCAAAATAAAATGAAGATAATGAATAAAATGTAATTGAGCAGCAAAGTAACATTAAATAACTTTTGCTGTAGAGCACTTAATACTTGAAAATTTTTCTGGAAAAACATGGATTAGTATAAACAAATGTTAGCTTGGTTTGTACTGTAGTAGTAACTGATTTGCCTTTTTTTGTCAAGTAGCATTTTTATTTTTAGGTATAAATGAACTATGCTGTCTGAAATTCTTAAGTATTTTCAGTTGCAAAATGTTAGAATTTATACAAAAGTAGAAATTCACTTTATATGAGATTAAAGTAAAAATCATATACAAACTGCACACTGTGGTCATAGGAGTCAGCTTCCACAGAGCTGCTAGGCTGGGCCTTTGTACACACAGACAGTAGACATCCCTTTGTTTTGCCCCTCCTTCTCTTCTTCAGCAGTCATTCAATGACAAGCGTAAAAAGAACCTCTTTTCCCGAAAATTCCCCTTCTACAAGAACAAGGACCAGAGTGAGCAGGAAACAAGTGATGCTGACCGTAAGTATGTGGATCCAGTGGTCAACTGAAAATAAAATGGAGAGGGACCTACTGCCCTGCAGTTGGTTGTTACCATGGAGACAGTTTCAAGAGCTGCAGCAGGTTGCTAATTGTCTTCAAGGGCAACTTAACAGTTATAAATTAATTTGTATGCCGATCTTAACTTTTTCTGGCACCTTAGGAATTCTTAATTTAAAGCAAACATTATTTTTCAGTTATATGTTTATAACTTGAACATATAAATATGTATAAATGCAGTTATTTGAAGGAAAGATTTTTATGAAAAACACATTCATACATTCAAAGAATATTTTAGAGGAAGAACATGAATACATGAGAAGCTACCTGTTGATTTCTAGGTATAACATGGCGAGTCTGATAACTGGATTCTCTGGAATCATTACATTTTACCCTATTTCTTCATTATATGTAGACAATCTGGATTTTACTTTTAAAATAGCAAGAAATGGTCTAAAATTTTGCTTCTGTACCTGAATCAGCCTTCATGCTAGAACTTTCATTCTTTTGGTAGATTACAGTTAGCAGCTAGCTCATTTCAAAGTTCTAGAAATATGTAAAAATGCTCTGTAAGATATATGTACCTGTAATGGTCTTGGAACTGTCTCTTACTGTAGCACCAATTTTATGCATTACTGACAACTATTTTCTTTGATTATCTTTTTATTGCTTGCTCTCTGGGGACTACCCTCTACAGGAGATCCCTGACGACATGGGATCAAAAGGCCTGAGTAAGTGATCAAAATACTCCCAAGTTATTTTTTAACCTCCATCTGCAGACCTACCTTATTCAGATACATTTTGAGATTCATGGTAGTGCCTTTCTGGCATAAGGAGGTGTATGATTTAGATTGCTTTTAGAATTTTCATGTTTATCACATGCTTGGGACTTTATTTCTGTAATACATAACTTTTTGTTTTTATTTTTCACATGTCATTTGAAAAATTCTCTTGCTCGTAACTATATTTTCCTTTTTGTAATTTTTACGACAGTTACTTTTGCTAGGAACTTTTAAAATATAAAAACTTTTAAGATTTTTTTAAATGTACCCTCATTATTAGAATGTAGAAATATGCTTCCTTGGAGTTTTATGTTCCCCTTTTTTTTGTTAAAATAATTTAAAATAATTTTGATTATGTGTTAGAAAAGCATTACTATAAAAGTATAAAGCACAATAGAATACTACGCAAGTAGCAGTTTATTGAGGGGATAGGTTGTGTATCTCTTTTTTTTTTTTTTTTTTTTTTTTGAGAAAGTTATAAGTTACCACAAGAGTATAAGAACTATTTTGTTTTTCCTTTAGCTAAGATGTTGCCTTTGTTTTTGGTTTTTGTTGCTGCTGTTCTTGTTTAATTTTCTAGCTAGTTACTTAATCTTCATGTAAAGCTTCACACAGGGTCTAGTATGTAGAAGACATTCAATAAATGTTGGCATGAATGAATGAAGCAAGAAGCCATTTTAGCAAATAAAATTTTTAATTTGCATGTTTTCAAATTGCTTAACTGAAAATTTACCAAACATTACTGAGTAACTTTAGGTGACAGTGAGTGATAGAAGTAATCTTTTAATCTAATATTTTCTAAATGGTTCTTTCTATTTAGATTATTAAATATTTTGAAAACTTCTTTGTCATTCATTGATCATTAAGCCTATAGCCAGTATCTTTTAACTTTCTAAGACCTACATTAATAAACATTAAATTTTACATAAGACATTTTTCTGATTTATGCTTTTATGCTGAAATTTTAATCTAAACTGCAGGTACTTTTATTTCAACCATAGTGATTTAAGTTTGTATTAGATTGAAGACAGTATGTTTATTTACAACTCTTTCTGTTAGACACACTTTGTTATTTTTGCATGTGCCTTTATAGGATTTAGTAAGGGCCACAGATTTCCTATCACTAGTGACACCCTTACATTTGGGGAAAATTATCAATGAAAACCTCTAAAATTGGACCATACTACCACAGTTTATGTATGCTATAGAATTTATTTTGAGATTGATAACATACTTTAGAGGTGGTATGGATCAACAAATGGACCCACAGATTTTTCTTATATGTTAAGTGAACAGAGACATAGGAAACTCATAGAAAAAGAAACTAAATGAAGAATTTGGTTCCCATATTGATGTTATAATAGATGATCATTATACCTTGACCCTCTTTCTCTGGTTCTGATTGAAGATTGAGACTTTGGAAGAGAAATAATATGAAAAATGGTAACTGATTATCAGACGACGTTATTCAGAAAAAGATTTTATTTTCTGGAGAGTGACCTAAGATCTCTTGAATAATAGATTTCTGTGCTTCATCTCACAGGAATTAAAAGAATTTATTCACCTGGTAACTTGATCATCAGATCAAGATTTTATTCACAAAATGTTGGAGAAGACAGAAAAATATCAGTAAAATTCTAAAACTGGATATGATGGAGGTTATCACATAAAATAGATGATATAAGGCAGTTGACAAGGTGCCCATGATTATGTAGTAGTAAATACTGGGAAGAAGGATGTGTTCAAGGACGTTACTTGTGGCCTCAGTTACTTACATTCTGAAGTTAAGAATGTAGGGAATAAACTAAGCAAAATCTTGAGAGACTTTAATATAAGAAAATAAGTGCAACTTAATGTAGGTAGTCATCAGGCCTTATTGGAACAAAACTCAAAAAGAACCCAAAAAAGAAGGTTAAGTTATTCCAGAGAACCGAACCTATTGAAGAGAAATGGAATAACACTGAATATCAAGAAAAAAAAAATGTATATCTGCTGTAAATTCACACAACCTATGAAAAATGGGGTATTTAATTGAAGAGCAGACAGAGAAACAGAAGTGATACCATAGAACGCTTTGTGTAGACCTGAATTCATTTGTTCTTTATTCTGAGAAGAAGAGAGTCAAATAAATTATTGATTTCCCTGTTAACAGTAGAGAAAACAGTGAGAGAAATCGTCTTATCAAACCTAATTTTGCTAAACAGAACTAATGAGAGTACAATGGAAGTTTGGGAGAATGCAGCTAAGTCATCATTTGCGAAAAGCTAGAAATAAAAACCCGTGCCGCTTTCATGCTTTAAGGGAGGTAATTTTGAAAAAGCTCAAGGGACTAAAACTAGGTAAGATTCCTTTAACAGAGACTGAAAGGAAACATAACTCAATAAAAGATACATAAGGTGCTCAGAAGTAAAATTATGACATAAGATTTGAGACAAGGTTTGTTCTTATTACATGTAGGCTTTCCATTTTTACAACTTTCCATGTTGTACAACACCTCAAAAATTTCCTCAGGCACGTAGGTTTCCTGTTACATATGTCTTTTCTTTCTTCTCACTTTAAAGACGTACGCATAGTTGTGCAGAGCTTCTAAATGCCAAAAACAGACTTATTTTCATTTGCATTACGAATAAGATGTAAGAGTAGTTTCATTGCTTCAGATTGATGATGTAGTATTAGAGGAGAGCAGAAGAGAAACATGATGTACTGTATCAGGAAGAAGCATTTGAGTACAATGATAAAACTTGGTTAGAGAGATTTGAGATAGATCTGTTCATCAAACATCATAAACAGGCTGGGCGCGGTGACTCACGCCTGTAATCCCAGCACTTTGGGAGGCTGAGGCCAGCAGATCACCTCAGGTCAGGAATTCGAGACCAGCCTGGCCAACATGGCAAAACCCCGTCTCTACTAAAAGTACAAAAATTAGCAAGGCATGGTGGTGCACACCTGTAATCCAAGCTACTCGGGAGGGAGGCTGAGGCAGGAGAATCACTTGAACCCGGGAGGTGAAGGTTGCAGTAAGCCGAGATCACGCCACTGCTCTCCAGCCTGGGTGACAGAGCAAGACTCAGGTTTTTTTTTTGTTTTTTTGTTTTTTTTTTTTTTAAGACAATCATAAACAAAAATAAAAACTTGAAGAATTTATTTGTACCATGTATGTCACAAGGATAATATCTTTATAAGTTTTTAACAGGTAATAAGAAATAAGCTAACTCTCCATTAGAAAACTGGGCAAGAGTGCTCAGAAGATAAGCAAATGAAATAAGCATATAAAAAATGTTTAATTTCCCTAGTAGTGATAAGCAAAATGTTTTACCTGTCACTTTGGCAGACTTTTGTTTAAAAAGAAAACCCATGACGGAGAGAGTGCTGCTAAATGCCTGCTTTTAATGTATTACAAGTAAATAATGTATTACAAGTAAATGTATGGGAGTGTAAATTGGCACAGCCTTCCTGAAAAAGCACATCTTTTGACCCACTAAATCCTCTTCAAAGAATTTATCCTAAGGATGTAATTAGAGATGGAGACAAAGCCTTATATATCAGAATGCTTATTATAATATTATTGAGTAATAACAGCAAAAATAAAAAAAACCGTGGTAAAATGTCTTACAGTTGGGAAGTGCCTAATGAAGTATGATTTATCCATACTATGTAATATTACATAACCATCAAAAATCATATTTAAAGATAATGACATGGGGAAATGCTTACTATCTATGAAAAAAGTAAAATATGAAACTGCATATATTGTCTCAGTCTTATATGTTTGGAGCTATTTTAAATAGTGTTGCTTTGAACATTCTTATACATGTCTTGTGGTAAGCATATATATGCCTTTCTGTTGGGGAAATATCTAGGAAAGGAATTGCTGGGTCGTATAGATACACATTTGTCCAGCCTTAGTAGCTATTGCCAATTAGTTTTCTAGTTTTACCAGTTTGCCCATTCCTAGCGCATGAACTCCCATTGCTGCATATCATTATCGATGCTTGACATGTCTGTTTTGTGTTTTCATTTTAGCCATTCTGGTGGATGGCAGAGACACTCTTTGTGGTTATAATTTGCATTTCCCTGACAAGTAATTAACTTGAACACTTTTCTATATGTTTATTGGTTATTTGACTGTCTTCTTTGGTAAAATGCTTTGAAGAGGAACATTTTCAATTATCAGAAGAAAAACATTTTATTTTTCTAATAACATTCCAAACAATTATGATGACGCTATTCTAAGGACCATACTTTGAGTAGTGAGGCTTTATTGTAGAAGAGCTAAGTGAAATGATATTTGAAAGAACCTGCAGAATTTGATTGTGGCGTAGCTTTTGGCAGTCTTAGAGGGTTTGAGGTGAGTAGGAGAAATCTCAAAAAAAAAAAAAAAAGACAGTGAAGAGATTTTGGTAACTTAAACTTTTTATTATATAAATATCAGATATATTCAATAGTAGAAAAGTAGTAAAAATAAACCCTGCAGGTATTTGTTTATCCAGCTTTCATAATTGTCAACTGAACATTTGCCAATTCTGTTTCTTCTGTACTCCCACTTACACTCCCCTCCCTTCACCCCATTGCAATAACTAATTTTTCTTTAGTTTACAAACTAGAGATTGCAGAGGGTAATACCAATACTAATGTAAACAGAATAACTCTTTTTTTAATGTGGCGTGTTTCTGGGTATGAAATTTAAGGAAATAGGACAGAAAGTTAAAAGGTATATATAAATGAAGACATTCATAATTGTTGATACTTGTGAAAAACAGTTTAAAGCAAATAAAAATATCTAATAAATAGCGAGGTAAATAATGTATCAATCTAATAGAATATTATACACCAATTTTAAATTATTGCTGTCAAGCCCATGTGGTGACATGGAAAGAAATATTTTAATATGAGCTTTTAAAAAACCTACCATTTGGCCAGGTGCGGTGGCTCACACCTGTAATCCCAGCACTTTGGGAGGCCAAGGCAGACAGATCACGTGAGCTCAGAGGTTCAATATCAGCCTGGCCAACATGGTGAAACCAGTCTCTACTAAAAATAGAAAAATTAGTTGGGCATGGTGCTATATACCTGCAGTGCCAGGTAGTCAGGTGTCTGAGACACAAGAATAGAATCGCTTAAACCTAGGAGGCAGAGGTTGCAGTGAGCTGAGATCGTGCCACTGCACTCCAGCCTGGGCAACAAAGGGAGACTATCTCAAAAAAAAAAAAAAAAAAAAAATGAAATTTCCAGCTGGGTGTGGTGATTCACACCTGTAATCCCAGCACTTTGGGAAGCTGAGATGGGAGGATCCCTTGAGGCCAGGAGTTTGAGACCAGTGTGGGCAACATAGTTGAGACTTGTCTCTTTTATTAAAAAAAAAAAACAAAATTTTAGCAGGGCATGGTGGTACATACCTGTAGTCCCAGCCACTCTGGGCTAAGATGGGAGGATCACAGAAGCCCAGGAGAGGAGGGCGAGGCTGCAGTGAGCTATAGTCATACCACCTCACTCCCACCTGAGCAACAGAGTGAGGCCCTGTCCCTTTAATTAAAAAAAAAAAAAAAAGTTAAAATAAAAATTCAGATTTCCCTGTCTCATTGAAAGTTTTATTTTTATTTTTTAAAAATAAAAGTATTAGTCTTTGTTTAATTGAAGGGAGATATTTATTGAGAGAAAACTTGAGATGACATTTACATGGATGAGAAGAGTGCCTATGGTTTTACCAAACAATAAAGTCGTGAAATGGAGTCACTTTTAAGGAGGGCCAGGCAGTTTCTGGCTGGGTGTGTTTGTTCTCATTGTCTTTTTTATGTTTTGCAAAAGCCAGCCAGTGCCAGTCTTATCAAAGCAGAGTTTCTAAGAAATATTAGTTGGTTTTAAAATGCAATTGCCACCATCGGTGCCTTCCCTTCCAGCTGAGACATCTGAATTTATGACTTCTAATATTAGTTGGTTTTAAAATGCAATTGCCACCATCAGTGCCTTCCCTTCCAGCTGAGACATCTGAATTTATGACCTTTACAATCCTTTATCTATATGATCTCAGAAACATGGATTTTCATCTTCAGAAACAGGAGCAAAGCTGGATTGAAAATAAGATCATCTATTTATTTTTAATTACAAAGACATCCCGTCATTAAAATGGGCATCTATTTGTTTAAATATAGTTTGTCCCCTTTGCCAGTTAACGCTGTTTCAAAAACTGAAATAGTGCCAACAGTATTTTCTCCTTTGAGTTTTATGTCTACATTTGGACTAATTCAGGGTCACTTAGCCCTTTTTGTCATATTCTACTTGCTATTTATAATAGATTTGTTCATAAACTGTGTTGTACAAAAATAAGGCATTGTCCTTAATTACAGGAGTTTTCCTTTGCTAATATATATTTATTATTTGAAAAACTTAAACGTTTCAAAGAAAAAGAAAATGCTTTTAAAAAATTATTTTGTTATATATGGCTTATATCTCAACATTTCATTTTGATTATTTGCTTTTTAAACTCATGACACTGTTTTATTTTTTTTCATTGTCCTGCAATTTCAGAGCATGTAACTTCTAATGCCAGCGATAGTGAAAGTAGTTACCGTAAGTGTTTTAAGTTACTTGTTCTTTTGTAATCTCGAGTAATACATCCTCTGCAGGGGTGGAGGGATTCTGAGTGATATGTTATAAAAACCTGAAGTTATATGATCGTTATTTTAAAATCAGGGAGAGACAAGTAAAATTCTGTACTTGAAAAATAAAATCATACTATATATGTAGAGGTTAATTTATAAAATTTTAATAAAATAAAAATATTATTTGTGTACATGATACATATGTATATGTATATGTATTTTTTGTAAGAAGTAAATATCTAGTTAAATGGGGGAAAACTTGTATTTTGACCTTCTGTTTAGTAATTGGTTTTAACATGAGCACTAAAATAATATTTTTCAGTAATGCTAAATTATCATTAGCTTTATTTCCATTTTTATTCTTTGTCACCAATACTGATCTGGGTCATGTCATTGTTTATCACCAGCACTTGGTGAACGGAAGAAATAAGGAAACATTTTCAATGATCACCTGAAAAATAATACTAATTTTTCTTTTGCTGTTTTATATTACATTCTTGGTTTTATTAAGTGAACTGCACAAGCATGTGATGTTTTAAAACAGACTTGGGCATGGGAGAAGGGGAGGGTACATAATATCAGTTGTAGCACCTTAAAAATTAAAATTACTTTTCTAACTTTCTTTTTTTACTGCTGTCTAATATGAAAGTAATCTTGATTACAGATGAGTATGGCTGCTCAAAAGGTCCATCCTGTTAATATCAGTCCCTAATACTTTTTCATGTTGACAGTATATACTTTTAACCGTCATTCATTTGGTTGATTATTTTTCTACACAATAGTTACTTAATGATTTTTTTTTTGGTGTGGAAATGATTTCCTGTATTTCAGCATTTTATTAATTATAACCAGAACCCACTATAGGGTAGTTGAGTGGCTTTCTAGGCTAAAAAGAGGTAATGAAAGTATATACTGTCTCTCACCATTTGCATGAATTATTAAGGTGTGAAATATTCAAATTGCATGTGTTTGCTAGTATGTAAGCCATGTTTCACATCCAGTACTTTAAAAAACAGCTTATAAAATATTGGTCTTATGTACTTTGATAATAAAATTGAAAACAAAGAAATACTTCTAAAACAGAAAAGAATGTTTATGCCAATGTATGGATTTAAAAGACCTACAGCTACATACATATAATATAAACCAATTGCAAAATTCATGGTAAAATTGTTATAGGATCTTGATAATTAAAGAGAAAGTCTTCAAATACATTATCCAATATTGATTGCTTTCATTGAACCACTTGGGTTAACACAGTCTTTTCTAATTTTAGGCGTGGGGGTGAGGGGGGATGTGTGTGTGTTAGTTTAAAACTCCTAGAGTTTTTGGCCGGGCGCGGCGGCTCACGCCTGTAATCCCAGCACTTTGGGAGGCCGAGGCGGGCAGATCACCTGAGGTCAGGAGTTCGAGACCAGCCTGACCAACGTGGAGAAACCCTATCTTTACTAAAAATACAAAATTAGCTGGGCATGATGGCACATGCCTGTAATCCCAGCTACTTGGGAGGCTGAGGCAGGAGAACCGCTTGAACCCGGGAGTTGGAGGCTGCAGTGAGCTGAGATCATGCCATTGCACTCCAGACTAGGCAACAAGAGCGAAACTCCGTCTCAAAAAAAAAAAAAAAAAAAAAAACTCTCAGAGTTTTTAACTATTTATTTCTTTTCACTGGATTCAGATATTCAGATATAATTTGTAGACTCTTTTATTTAGAGTATTTCCTAAGCTCCGAACCTTTAATTTAACCTTTAGAAGCTTTAACTTCTTGTGTTTTTAAGGTCAAAGCAAATATATTTATCTCCTTTACTATCACTGTTGTTTATTTTCTTGGAAGGATTTAGTTTTATCTAAAGCTCTTTTTGACTCACATTAAATTTATTATTTTTTTACAAAGTTGAGTTAGTGAATTTTTCATCAGTGAAATAGTAACAGTAGTTTTACCTTTGCATTTATAATTTTTAATTTTAAGATGTAATTATTTTAAAAATAAAATATACTGTATTCAGTATTGTAGTTGGTGGAACAAAAAAAGTAGCATGTTTTTAATAGTAACAAATTACCTAATACGTAGATAGATGATAGACAGATCTGCTCATTAAAGCATTAATCTTTAACAGATTTAATAATTCTTAGATTCTAAATAAAGGAGTAGCACATAGCATCACAAATGAAGATTTTTAGATTTGATTATCTATAAAATATAATATTGATTATATAGCCCATTTGTATTTTGTTTTACATTTAGCAAACTCACTTTTAAGACTTTATAATTTGACACTTTTTTTTAACTAAATCTTGCCATAAAGTACCTCTTTCCATATCTTTGCCATTTTCTCAGGAAAGTTCTAGTAATGTATATGTTGTTTATGAAGAATTAGATTAGCATCAATTATCTTTACACATTTTTCATCTGTGCCTTCACTTTCTAATAGGTGGTCAAGAAGAATACGTCTTATCTTATGAACCAGTGAATCAACAAGAAGGTTTGTGAAGCCTATTGATGTTTTATAACCTTCTAGAAGAATATACTTTTTAATTTGGGGGAAAAAAATTCTCATACCCCAAAAAATGTTGTATTAAAATTTTTTTTTACTACATATACATGTAGAAATTTACTACATGTGTTTTATGAAACATAGTTTACTCCACAGAATATTAGAATCTAGTCATTTCATACTGACTTTTATATTTGTGTTTTATTTCCCAAGCAACTTTGTTCCAGTGTTCTTGTTAGCATCACTATCTTCCAAATAACCCTTTTTTGAAAATCTTGGAAGTATCTTTGAGCCTTCTCTGTTCCTCCTCCTCCTCCTCATCCAGTTAGGTTCCAGGCACTGTTTATCCCACTTCTTTCTTATTTATGACCTTCTTTTCATCCCTTCTATCACAATGTTAGTTCTCAGTCTCACTACCAATCTCCATTATTCCAGCATGATCCCAGACCACCCAGAGTTTACACTTCTGTTAGATCATCTTTCTAGAATGCTACTACTGGGATTATATCACTTCCTACATCCAGTTTCTGTTCTGCCCTTCTTTGCTCTGCTTCCTTACAATTTCTACTTCAAAGCCATCTGTAAAACACTAGACTTTATTCTGTCATTTGCAATGTAAAGAAACATTATCTGCGAAAACACCAAATTTAACTTGATTGAATTATCAATATGACTTCTAGCAGAAGACTAAGTAAAGTTTAAGATCTGAGTCAAGATTATAAAAGAGCAAGTTACGCATCTTTGGTTGATGGTAGAGTGAGATGGAGAGGGAAGAAAAAAATTAGTCATAACAGTTAAGGATATTTTTGTTCGCTGGTGAAATAAAATACATTGATATTTGTTGAATGTTTATTCCTTTTAACATGCAGTTTATCTTTATAGTTAATTATACTCGACCAGTGATCATATTGGGACCTATGAAAGACAGGATAAATGATGACTTGATCTCAGAATTTCCTGACAAATTTGGATCCTGTGTTCCTCGTAAGTAAACCAAACAAAAACATTTAATTGTTACTCTTAACATTTCCTGTCACTGTGTGTGGGAAAAATAGATATAACCATTTTTTAATGGTTTGTACTTATTTTATCAGTTACTCTTCCATCCTCCATATTATTGTCCTTTCTCAGATTTAAATTAATCTGTTCTGTTGAACTTTACAAAACGATGTAAGTAGAAAATGGATTTATTGTGGTTTTTTTTTTAATATTAAACACTTTCCCAAGTTTTTTTCTGTTAAAGATACAACTAGACCAAAACGAGATTATGAGGTAGATGGAAGAGATTATCATTTTGTGACTTCAAGAGAGCAGATGGAAAAAGATATCCAGGAACATAAATTCATTGAAGCTGGCCAGTATAACAATCATCTATATGGAACAAGTGTTCAGTCTGTACGAGAAGTAGCAGAAAAGGTAAGCATCAGACTAATCCCAGAATATAGCTTCTAATCAGATATGCCTTTGACAGTATGCAAGACTGGTAGGATAGATACAGCACTAATTAGTTTTGTTAATGTGATGAATTTGCTTACCTAAATAATTAATTTTCCATGGCTTAGGAAAGTGCATACAAGATAAAACAGGTAAATAAGGTAAACAAAGAAAGTGAAAATAGAAATGATAACATGAATGTAAGAGAAGTTATTTTCAGGTCATTTGCTAGAGATAGACCTTTTGTTTAGGCCTAGCTCTCCAGCATATATTAAAAGGAGATAAGGGCCGGGTGTGGCAGTGCACCCTTACAGTCCTAGCTACTGAGAAGGCTGAGTTGAGAGAATCACTGAAGCCTGGGAGTTTGAGGCTGCAGTGAGCTATGAGCATGCCACTGAACTCCAGCCTGGGCAACAGAACAAGACCCTGGCTCTTAAAAAAAGAAAAAAAAAGAAAGATCAATAAATCTAACCACTTAAAATTTTTAAAAAACTTTTTTTATGGCCAAAGACTTTTTCCAAAAACTATTGGAAAACACCATTAACAATGTCAAAAGACAACTGACAGAAAAAATTTGCAAGAAAAGGGCTAATATTCCCAATATATAAAGAACTCATAAAAACAGGGAACAGAGACCAGAAACCCAATAGAAAAAAACAGTGGACAAAAGATCAGAATATATAGTTCACACAAAAATAAGATATAAAATGGCCTTTGTACATAGGAAATGACGTTCAACTGTAGTCATTATTAAAGAAATGTAAAGGCCGGGTGCGGTGGCTCACGCCTGTAATCCCAGCGCTTTGGGAGGCCAAGGCAGGCGGATCACCTGAGGTTAGGAGTTCAAGACCAGCCTGGCCAACATGGTGAAACCCCGTCTCTACTAAACATACAAAAATTAGCCAGGCTTGGCAGTGCATGCCTTAATCCCAGCTTCTCAGGAGGCTGAGGCAGGAGAATTGCTTGTACCTGGGAGGTGGAGGTTGCAGTGAGCCGAGGTCGTGCCGTTGCACTCCAACCTGGGTGACAAGAGTGAAACTCTGCCTCAAAAAAAAAAAAAAATAAGGCCAGGCACAGTGGAAGGCTGAGGTGGGTAGATCACCTGAGGTCAGGAGTTCAAGACCAGCCTGGCCAACATGGCAAAACCCCATCTCTACCAAAAATACAAAAATTAACTTGGCGTGGTGGTGCATGCCTGTAATCCTGGCTAAGGAGGCTGAGGCAGGAGAATCGCTTGAACCCAGGAGATTGCAGTGAGCCAAAACCATGCCACTGCACTCCAGCCTGAGCAACAGAGCAAGACTCCATCTCAAAAAAAAAAAAAAAAAATGTAAATTAAGAAGACTACTCTAAATTCAATTTCTCCCCTATCAGATTCAGGGAGAAATATGAAGACATTTTCTTGGTGAGACTGAGAGAAAACAGTTGTGCATTGCTGGTGGAAATGCAAACTGGTACTGCCTTTTGGAAGGGTATTTGGCAATATCTAGCAGCTTTCCTTCAACCCAGCATCCCACTTCTAGGAATTTATTCCAAAGATATACCCCAACAGTATGAAAATACATGGGCAAAAGGGTATTTATTCATTGTAGCATTGTTTATAATTGTGAAATACTGAAAATCATCTAAATGCCCAGATAAAAGTGATTGAATTAATTTTACATTCACAAAATGAAGTTCTCTAAAACTGTTAATAAGGTATTTGAACTGATACACAACATGCAAAAGAATATCTACGGTATAAAATAAGAGAAAATGGGAAAATACAAATCTCTGCTCAGTTGTGTGAAAATAAGCACAGGAAAGGTAAATCAGAACTTAATGAGGTTGGTTACCTACAGAGGGAGTGATGTAGAGAGGGAATTTGGAATGGGATGGAAAGGATGAGGGGTATGACATTTCTCTGAGTATACATTTTTGTATTATTTTAACTTTTAGAAAGTATGTTAGTATTTTACATATTTAAAAAAATCAAAAATAAAAGCAACAAAGAAAGATGGGGGAAAAGCAAAATGATACATAAGTAGAAACTAAATAAACCTGACTGTATTTCTTTTTTTTTTTTTATACTTTAAGTTTTAGGGTACAATAAACCTGCCTGTATTTCAAATGAATAACTTAACTACATTGAAGAGGGGAGAAGTCTTAATCCCAGAGATTCTTTAACACAAGCTGAAGACAGATCTGTAAACAAAATAAAACTCTAATTAGTAGGTTTGTTGGGTGGAGTGTATGGGCTTACAGTTCTGAAACTAATATATATTCTAGGGTTGAGCAAATAAACTAATACAATGGCAGTAGTGGGAGTGAGGTTTGACTGTCAGAAAAAGGGAGAGGGTAAAATGAACTCTGTGATAATTGGATTGGAGATATTAGATAATTAGAGCGATGAATATGAACCCATGGATTGTTAAGAGTAGATATAGAAATAGATGTGTATTTATGTATACACACACGTATGTTTATTTGCTTTATCCACTAAGAAGACCTAAAAATAACACTGAATAAGCCATGAGAATATCTGGGGCCCGGATCTGGGCTTCTAAATATAATTCGTTAATTAAAAGATCCAGGACTCCTTAGAGAAATGGCTGATTCTGGGGCCAGGACTGGAAAAGTGTGAGATAAGCCTGTAACATTTTGCTGCCAGAAAAATAAGGAAGCACTCAAAGAATGATGAAGATGTGTAAAAAGGCAAAGGAACCAAGCTGTAGGGTCCCCCACTGGCCAAGTCTGAGATAATTTGAATATCAAGATAAATGATAATAACATATTATAATACATAGAGTAAAATAAAAATCGTAGAGTCCATAATGATATAAACAAACACAGATGGCCCTCAACTTAGAATGGTTCAACTTTTCAGAGGCGCAAAAGTGATGCATATTCAGTCGCAGCCATACTTCAAGTACCCATACAGCTATTCTGTTTTTCACTTGTAGAACAGTATTCAATGAATTACATGAAAAATTCAACACTTAATTATAAAACAGGCATGTTGGATGATTTTGTCCGACTGTAGAGTAAGTGTTCTGAGCACATTTAAGGTAATCTGGGCTAAGGTATGATGTTCAGTAGGGTAGGTATATTAAATGCATTTTCAATTTACAGTATTTTCAACTTGTGATGGGTTTATTGGGACGTAACTCCCATCATAAGGAGCATCTGTATGTGAGTAAGTAAGTGGATAGAAGGGAACGCTTTGGACTGTCTACTAATCAAGGTAGAAGAAATGATTAAATTAGAAAATCTTTTGAAAACCGCATGGTGGTAATTGTTTCCGGCAGAAACCATCAGTGTATTCTAAAATTAGTGAACATTTGATGAAAAAAGGGATATTTATATAGTCTCAAAGTGTCCTCCCCCAAAATACTTATCAGTTACAAAGGTAAAAATGATAATTTTACAGTGGAGAAACCTAGCAGATAAAACCTTAAACAAGTGATCAAAATTAGGATCACTAATAATGGGACAAATAGATATAATATCGCCTCCCAGATATGATGGACTAAGAAGGACACACATTATGTCTGTAGTATTCCTGCCAAAAATGTGTAACCTGCCATCCGAGAGTGAGTAAACACACAAACCCATAAACCCATAGAATGAGGCATATTCTATGATATAAATATTTTATACTCTTCAAAAACATCAAGAAAGACAAAAGACTGAGGAACTGTGTCAGATTGACGGAGACTAAGGAGACTTTACAACTAAATACAATGTGTGATCCTATGATCCTGAATTCGATCCTTGACCAGGACATTTTTTTACTCTTTTCCAATAAGGAACATTAGATGGCCACTTGGAATCATATTGTGATTATGTAAGAGATGCCATTGTTTTTAAGAAATACGAGGTGAAGGAGCATTATGCAGTTTATTCTCAAACTATTATGTACATATATAGAAAGAGTTAAAGCAAACCTAGAATATTAATATTTCAGTATCAAGTTATTAAAATGTTTAAGCGATCATGTAAAATATTTATGTCTGATGAAAGTAGATAATGGGTACATGGTGTCTATTATTTACTTTTCTATATGTTTGGAGTATTTTACAGTATTAAATTTTTTATTTTAAATGTGCCCACCAAATTGAAATTATCATGTATTGACTTGGACTCAAGTCCTTGGGTTAGAAGTTGCATTATGGGGCTGAGCATGGTGGCTCACGCCTATAATCCCAGCACTTTGGGAGGCCAAGGTGGGTGGATCACTTGAGGTCAGGAATTTGAGACCAGCCTCACCAACATGGTGAAACCCCATCTGTACAAAAAACACAAAAATCAGCTGGGTGTGGTGGCGCACACCTGTTGTCCTAGCTACTGGGGAGGCTGAAGCAGGCGGAAGTTGCAGTAAGCCGAGATCATGCCACTGCACTCAAGTCTGGGTGACAGAGCAAGTCTTCGTCTCAAAAACAAACAAACAAAAAACTGAAGTTGCATTATCGGGGAGGGCCTGATTTCAAATGTATTAGAAGAAAATCTGTCATAAATAATAAATACTATGCTTAACATGGAAATGCTCATCTGTATTAAAAACCTAAGTATCCTTTGTCAGTGAGTTTAAGCTTGTCAGAAAAGTTGTCATTTAAATCCAGAACTGGGGTCCCATATGCTAGTTTATGAGTTTTTGTCAGTCCCTAATAAAATGAGAAATAGAAGGATTGAGTAGTGGCAATGAGGTTTCACAAATTTGTTTATTTAAAAGGTTTGCCCTTACTCTAGGGTTTTTTATCTTTTATGAAATGATAGCTATGGGGAGATGGTAGTTTGGAGTCTTAATGAATAACTTTTCTTGGCAGAATGAAAAATAGGAACCTGGGCCTGGCACAGTGGCTCATGCCTATCATCCCAGCACTTCGGGAGGCTAAGGTGGGAGGATCACTTGAGCCCCAGGAGTTCAAGACCAGCCTGGTCAACAGAACAAGACCCCGTCCCTTAAATTTTAAAAAAAGGGAACGGCGGGGGAGCTCTATTTTTCACCATTTTGAGAAATAACTGATCCGTGAAAACTAGGAACTGTATTTTCATTCCTTTTTAAATATAACATTTGTTTGAAAATGGCAAATTAATTATGCATATTCAGCCATTTCATTTCCTATCTAAAGTTTGCTGAGAGAAATGACAAGTTTACTAAAAGTGAACAAGGATCGAAACAGATCATGATTTAGACTGTGGACCTGTAGGAAAAGTACCTTTGATATTATTGAGAATATTTGGCTCACTTGTTTTTTTTCTTTGTTCCCTTTATTTTAGGGCAAACACTGTATCCTTGATGTGTCTGGAAATGCCATAAAGAGATTACAGATTGCACAGCTTTACCCTATCTCCATTTTTATTAAACCCAAATCCATGGAAAATATCATGTAAGTGTAAATGCCTAAGGCATAGCCTCTGTGTACAAATTCAGTCACTGTAGGGTAATTTATTTACTCTCCCTGCATCTCAGTTTATCTATAAAATTGAGATAATAGTAGTATGTTTATTCACCTCAGATTATGTGGTGAGGATTAAATAAGCACTATGGGTTATAAATTGTCATTGTAATCATCATCATTAATATTACTAAAGTATAAGGTAACATGTGTTAGAACTTTAAATAGCCCCACGTGTGACTAGTGGCTACTGAAGTACGCAGCACAGCTCTCAGGTAACCATTAAGAGAATAAAAGAATGTATAACCATTACCTAATACTTTCAGGGGACAAAAAAATAGAATCTAAGTAAAAATTAAGAAAGAACAAATAGAAACACAGAATGTGAGGCAGAACCATATAAATAGTGAGATGGTATAAACTAAAGCAAATAATAGACTACTAGACTAAATGTTCCAATTAAAAGACAAGGGGTGAAGAAAAAAGTAAATTATATGTGGCTTTCATCAGACACACCTTAAAAATTAGGCTATGGGAAGGTTGAAAGTAAGAGAATAGGAAAAGATATACCATGCTAAACTAGGCTGATTTTTATATGGCTGACGAATATACTTTAAGGCAAGAAGTATTACTTAGCTTCAGAGTGACATTTCATGGCTGGGCACAGTGGCTCACGTCTGTAATCCCACCACTTTGGGAGGCTGAGGCGGGCAGATCACGAGGTCAGGAGATCGAGACCATCCTGGCCAACACGGTGAAACCCCGTCTCTACTAAAAATACAGAAAATTAGCCGGGCGTGGTCGCGGGCACCTGTAGTCCCAGCTACTCGGGATGCTGAGGCAGGAGAATGGCGTGAACCCAGGAGGCGGAGCTTGCAGTGAGCCGAGATCTCGCCACTGCACTCCAGCCTGGGCGGCAGAGCGAGATCCATCTCAAAAAACTAAAAAGAGTGACATTTCATAAAAGTAAAATATTCACTCCAACAGGAAGATCTGTTCGTACATTTGTTTGCACTTCATAGCATTCTCAAAACAAAAAATAAAAATTGACAGCTGCATAGGGGCGAAAAGTAATTCCAACATCATCGAGAGGGACAGAAGCAATTAAATAAGAAAACAAATATAAAAATCAGTGAAGGTATGGAATAACACAAATTTAAAACTTTACCTATTTGACATCTGTTAAACACTGCACTCATCATCTGCAAGAGACACATGGATTTCCAGTGTACATGAAACAGTTACTAAAACTGATCATTTGCTAGATTACAAATTTCAAAGGATAGAAAACAAATACTCTCCGACCATAATGCAATTTAAATGGAAACCAATAATTAAAAGATAACTAGAAAATCCTCATGTATTTGGAAATTAAGCATTATGCTTCTGAGTGAGTCAAAGAAGAAATCACAGAATAAATTGATGTTTTGAACTAAATAGTAGTGAATTGCCAAGTAGAGTTTGGAGGCTTTCATAGCTTTGTTGAAGGAATACACACAGCTTTGAAGGAATACACACAGCTTTAAATGTTAGGAAAGAATGTTGAAAATCAAATATTAGGAAAGTTGAAAATCTAAGATTTTGAGAAACTGAAAAAGAAGGCGGGGCACAACGGCCGGCCCCTATAATCCCAACACTTCAGGAGGCCTAGGTGGGCGGATTGTTTGAGTTCAGGAGTTCAAGACCAGCCTGGGCAACATGGTGAGACTCTGTCTCTACTAAAAATACAAAGAAATAGCCAGGCATGGTGGTGTGCGCCTGTGGTCTCAGCTACTTGGGATGCTGAGATGGGGGGATTGCTTGAGCACAGGGAGCAGAGGTTGCAGTGAGCCAAGATCTTGCCACTGCACTCCAGCCTGGTGACAGAGCGAGACCCTGTCCCAAGGAAAAAAAAAAGAAAACAATATTTAAAAATTTAAAAATAAAAAATATGGCAGAGCAGAAATTAATGAAATAGAAAAAACAAACATATGATAAAGAGGATCAACAAAGCCAAAAGTGTTCTCTTTGAAAATAAAATACAATAAACCATTAGGAGTGATCAAGAAAAGAAAGAAGGCATATCAATGTGAATATCAGGCAAGACAAAGAGGATATGACTACACATGCAGCAGACACCAAAGAGATCAACAGAGGCAGCCTGACAGGAAAAGGGACAAAGGGCTTGGACACATCACAAAAGAGAATCTCCAAAGAATAAGCCTGTGAGATAGTGCCCAACTAATCATGGAAATACAGGTTAAAAAAATGAAAAAGACAAAATATTTAATGCTGGCAAAGATGTGGAACAACTGAAACTCGTAACAGTGTTAGGGGTGCAGATTGGTGCATCTTCATTGGTAAACTGTTGATAGTATCATAGTGTCTCCTAAAGCTGAACATGCACGAGTTATGACCCAGAAGTCATATTCTTAGACGCACACTCCACAGAAACGCTTACCTGTGTTTACAAAGACAGGTACAAGCGTGATGACAGTACTGTTCAAATAGTCAACGACTGTCAGGTGCGGCGGCTCACACCTGTAGTCCTGACACTTTGGGAGCCCAAGACAGAAGGATTGCTTGAGGTCAGGAGTTGGGAGACCAGCCTGAGCAACATGGCACAATCCTGTCTCTACAGAAAACTTTAAAAGGTAGCTGGATGTGGTGGTGCATTCCTGTAATCCCAGCTACTTAGGAGGCCGAAGCAGGAGGATCCCTTGAGCCCAGGAGTTCTGTCCAAGCTGTAGTGAGCTATGCTTGCACCACTGCACTCCAGCCTTGGTGACAGAGTGAGGCCGTGTCTCTAAAAAAAAACAAAGAGTCAGTAACTAAAAACTAGAAACTACCCAAATACTATCAGGAGTAGAATATGTAAATAAATTATGACATGTTCACAATGAAACATTCTGTGATAATGTGAGCAATCTCCAGCCACATACAGAAGTATAGAAGAATCTCACAAGTACAATTTGAGTTAAAAACAAAAACCCAGACCTAAAGATATACATACTCTGTGACTCCAAATTTAATAATTGCTCATAGAAGTCAAATAGAGGTTACCCTGTAAGAATGGGTTGGTGACTAGAGTGAGCACACCCAGATTCTGGGGTCCTAGTCATGCTCTGTGTCTTGACCTAAGTATACAGGTACATGTAAGTTTGTGAAAATGTAACAAGCTGTATGATACGATTTTTCTAATATTGCTCATCTGTGTTTGAAACATATACTTCAGAAAATGTTAAGGAAAAAATAGAAAAGGAAAAGAAAAATAGAAAACCTAAATAATCTAGTACTTATTAAAGACTTGAACCCGTCATAAAAAGCCTTTCCACAAATTAAATACTAAGCCAAGCAGACTTACTAAATTCTACCAAAAGCTAAGAAGCTATGTCAATTTTATACAAACTTTTCAACTAATTTATGAGCATTAATTTGATACCCAAACCTGGAAGGGACTATATAGGAAAGGAAAATGATAAAGTCAGTCTTAATTATGACTATAGATTGCAAGAACCCTTACCAAAATAGGAGCAAATTGAATCAAACAATTTTTTTAATAAGGCAAAATGTAACAACCAAGTTGGGTATATTCCTGGTATGCAACACTGCTGCAGCATTTAAAAACTAATCAGTTATGGAGCTAGAGGGAAGATGGCAGAGTAGGAAGCTCTGGGAATCTGTCTCCCCACCCAGACGACAACTGCACTGGCAGAATCTGTCTGATGTTACTATTTCGGATCTCTGTTCACCATTTTTATCAGGTTGGGAACTCTGAAGTCTATTGAAGGCTTATGACTTCCAGGGGAAGGTTTGAAAGGTTAATTTCAGCTCTTAACATGGTAGCAACTACCTGTTCGTCTACCCTCAGTCCCATAGCATGTAGCCATGTACACATTTTCAAGCAGCTTTGCATAGGGTTTGTGGGAGCCAGTGTGGACAATAAGGATTCTGTCCTCCAAATAGCAGGAATCTTTGCTCTGATAGCTAATTACTGCTTCTGATCATGGAGGTGCAGCCATACAGTGAGCCATTGTTGCAAACCCCACTGCCACTGTTACAAGCCCCTCCACTTGAGGCTGAAGTGACTTAAAGATTTAAAGGGCCATTGCCTTCAGTGGTGATTAGTGAGGAGAAAGAAAAAATATTAAGTAAAAACAAAGGGCTAGTGCTTCCCTCTTCCCCCCACACCACAGACACACACACACACCTTTTTTCCCCCTCCCCTTTTGGGGGCCAGACCAGGACATTCAAAAGTATATGAGGGGAGGTTTTCATATCCATGGAAAATCACAGGCTTAGAAAATACCTGAAAAGACCCTAAGTTTACACCTCAGGCTGATTCCTGGTACAGAAACACCTTGCAACAGTAAACAATAAAATTAAATTTTAAATAAAACAGCAAACCCTGGGAAAGGAAGAGAATTCGTTCTCCAGAGTTACTTACATTGTAAGATTTAAATGTGTAGTTTCCCACAAAAAAATCACAAGACATACGAAGAAACAGGAAAATATAGCCCATTCAAAGGAAAAATAAACAAACTATCCCTGAGAAAGACTATACTTGAGAAAGAGTTAGACTTAATAAAGACTGTAAAACAAGATACTAAATGAGCTAAAAGACATGGACAAAGTCTCAAGAAAGTGATAGGCCCAGCGCAGTGGCTCATGCCTATAATCCTGGCACTTAGAAGGCTGAGACGAGAGGATCACTTGAACTCCGTGGTTCAAGACTAGCCTGGGCAACATAGTGAGACCTTGCCTCTATAAAAGGTAAGCAAAAATTGGCCAGACGCAGTGGCTCACGCCTGTAACCCCAGCACTTTGGGAGGCCGAGGCAGGCAGAACACCTGAGTTCGGTAGTTCGAGACCAGCCTGGGCAACATAGCAAAACCCCATCTCTACTAAAAATACAAAATTAGCTGGGCGTGGTGGCGGGCATCTGTAATCCCAGCTACTTGGGAGGCTGAGGCACGAGAATCGCTTGAACCCAGGAGGCGGAGGTTGCAGTGAGTAGAGACCATACCATTGCACCCCAGCCTAGGCAACAAGAGCAAAACTCCGTCTCAAAAAAAAAAATAAACAAAAATTAGCTGGCCATGGTGGCACGAGCCTGTGGTCCCAGCTACATGCAAAGCTGAGGTGGGAGGATCTCTTGAGCCTGGGAGGTCAAGGCTGCAGTGAGCCGAGATCACACCACTGCACTCCAGCCTGAGCAACAGAGGGAGACCTTGTCTCCAAAAAGATAAAGGAAAAAAAAGATGAAAAAGATACATGAACAAAATGGAAATATCAACAAAGAAATAAAAAACCTAAAAATAAACCAAAAGGAAATTCTGGAGGTAAAAATAACTGAAATGGAAAATTCACTACAGGGATTCAGGGAGATTTGAGCAGACAGAAGAAAGAATCAACAAGTTTTAACTTAAAGATACAACAATGGAAATTATTTAGTCTGCGAAACAGAGAAATGACTGAAGAAAAGTGAACAGAGCCTAAGGGACCTATAAGACACCATCAAGCAGTCAACGTACACATTGTGGAGGTCCTTGAAGGAGAATAGAGAGAAGGCAGAGAGATTGTTTGAAGAAATAATGGCCAAAAACATCCCAAATGTGATGAAAGACGTGAATATAATCCAAGAAAGTCAATGAACTCAAAGCAGGATAAACTTAGATACCCACACTGCGGCACATTATAATCAAAGTGTCAGAATACAGAGAGAATCTTGAAAGCAGCAACTTACCACACACAAGGGATTTCCCAATAAGATTATCAGTCACTGTTTTTGTTTGTTTGTTTTTTGAGACAAGGTCTCGCTTTGTCACCCAGGCTGGAGTGCAGTGGCTCGCTGCTTACCCAGGTTACTGCTGTCTTAACTTCCTGGGCTCAAGCAGCCTCTCACCTCGGCCTCCCAAGCAGCTAGGGCTACAGACATGCACCGCCACGCCTGGCTAATTTTTGTATTTTTTAGAGAGACAGGATTTTGCCATGTTTCCCAGGCTGGTCTCGAACTCTGAGCTCAAGTGATCCACCCACCTCAGCCTTCCAAAGTGCTGGGATTCCAGGTGTAAATAAATACCCACCTTGCCCAGCAATCAGCAGATTTTTTTTTTTTTTTTTTTTATGAGACAGGGTCTACTCTGTCTCCCAGGCTGGAGTGCAGTGGCTCATTCTCAGCTCACTGCAACCTCTCTGCCTCCCGGGTTCAAGTGATTCTCTTGCCTCAGCCTCCCTAGTAGCTGGGATTACAGGGACTCACCACTGTGCCCTGCTAATTTTTGTATTCTTAGTGGAGACGGGATTTCACCATGTTGGCCAGGCTGGTCCCGAAGTCCTGACCTCAGGTGATCCGCCTGCCTCGGCCTCCCAAAGTGCTGGGATTACAGGCTTGAGCCACCATGCCCTGCCAGCAGATATTTTATCAGAAACTCTGGAGGCCAGAAAACAGTGGGTTCAAAACACTGAAGGAAAAAAAAAAAATTTAACTGTCAACAAAGAATCCTATATCTGGCAAATCTATTCTTCAAAAATGAGGGAGAAATTAACACATGCCCAGATAAATTAAAACTGAAAGAGTTTATTACCTGTAGTCCTCCCTTACGAGAAATGCTGCAGAGAATTTTGTAGGGTGGGATGAAAGAGTACTAGACAGTAACTCTACAAAATATCAAAGCAAACGTCATAATTAATGGCAAAATATTGAAGGCTTTCCTTTAAGTTGGGAACGAACTCTATACTCATCATCCAGCTGCAGCAATAATTATCCACTTATGACCAATCTTGTTTCTCTCCACTCACACCCACCTCCTTACACCTTCATTCCAGATTATTTTGAAACAAGTCTCAGACATTCCTATCATTTTGTCTGTGTACATCACTGTGTATTTGAAAGATAATTTCTTACAAAAAGTCACTGATTATCATACTTAAAATAATAATTATTTGATAAAGTTCAAATGTTGCTGGTTATTTCATAAGTTTTGTTTGTGTTTCTTCAGTTTGTTGGAATAAAATTTTTAGTAAGATCTATTCATGGCAGTTGGTTAAGTTGTTTAACCTATAGATTCTCTCTCCACATCTCTCTTTTATGCCCCCACCCCGCCACACCTCCCATTTATTTGTGATAGAAACCAGGTCATTTCTTCTGCAGATGTTTCCCCAGACTGTATTTTCTGATTACCTTCTCATGGTGTTATTTATATGGTTGTTTGTCCCCTTATTTTCTGTAAACTGATAGGTAGATCTCTAAGTCACTTTAATATGAAATTTTCATCAAAGTCAAAAGTATCATAAATTAATGAATAGGTTTTTTGGCTACACTGAGCTGATGCAGAATTTGTTAAAACCCTCTGTCATTCCAAGTATACAGCAACATATTCAGTGACTAAATCTAGTTTTTATTTTTTTATTTTTGTTTATTTATTTATTTATTTTGTTGTTGTGGAGACAGAGTCTCGCTCTGTCACCCAGACTGGAGTGCAGTGGCACGATCTCGGCTCACTGCAACCTCTGCCTCCTGGGTTCAAGCGATTCTCCTGCCTTAGCCTCCCAGGTAGCTAGGATTACAGGCATGCGCCACCACACCCAGCTAATTTTTATATTTTTAGTAGAGTCGGGGTTTCGTCTTGTTGGCCAGGCTGGCCCTGAACTCCTTACCTCAAGTGATCCACCTGCCTTGGCCTCCCAAAATGCTGGGATTACAGGTATTAGCCACCATGTCCAGCCTATTATTTTTATTTTTAAAAATCCCAGAAACAGGCTGGGCTCGGTGGCTCACATCTGTAATCCCAGCACTTTGGGAGGCCAAGGCGAGCAGATTACCTGGGGTCAGGAGTTCGGGACCAGCCTGCCCAACTTGGTGAAACCCCATCTCTACTAAAAATATAAAAATTAGCCAGGCGTGGTGGCGCATGCCTGTAATCCAGCTACTTGAGAGATGGGGGCAGGAGAATCACTTGAACCCAGGAGGCGGAGGTTGCAGTGAGCTGAGATCGTGCCACTGCACTCCAGCCTGGGTGACAGTGTCAGACACTGTCTCAAAAAAAAAAAAAAAAAAAAAAAAAATTCCCAGAAATGACCAGAATGACTCAAGTTTTTAATGACATTCATATTTTCAGCAGAGTTCAACTTTTCATGATTTTCTATTTTATGTGTCATCTCTCCTTTGCCATCTTTTTTTTAAAAGTATTATAATTTGGTAATTATCAATTTCTACATTTATTTTCGTAGGGAAATGAATAAGCGTCTAACAGAAGAACAAGCCAGAAAAACATTTGAGAGAGCCATGAAACTGGAACAGGAGTTTACTGAACATTTCACAGGTTGGAACCGTGTTGTAACAGTCCTCTTTAAGATAGAATTTTGCTTTGAAGCCATGTGAACCGACCCGTTCAGGTGGATTTTGAACTATGCCTACATCTACCCGTAGTAACTAGTATCATCCAGCCTAGGCAGTGGTGCTGGGGAACCTTTTTTTTGAGACGGAGTTTCGCTCTGTCACCCAAGCGGAGTGCAATGGTATGACTCGGCTCACCGCAACCTCCGCCTCCCTGGCTCAAGCGATTCTCCTGCCTCAGCCTCCCGAGTAGCTGGGGCCTCCCTGGCTCAAGCGATTCTCCTGCCTCAGCCTCCCGAGTGGCTGGGATTACAGGCACCTGCCACCACGCCCAGCTAATTTTGTATTTTTAGTAGAGATGGGGTTTCGCCGTGTTGGTCAGGCTGGTCTCGAACTCCTGACCTCAGGTGATCCACCTGCCTCAGCCTGTCAAAATGCTAGGATTACAGCGGTGAGCCACCCTGCCCAGCCAGGAATCTTGAAATTTAATGTTTCTTAGGTTATTGATTAGAACAACAAAAACAGGAATAATTCATACTTGACCAGAGAAAAATAGATTTAGATTTCATTTCTTCTATGAAACTCTGATTTTTCTCTTATCCTTTATAAATTTTGATCCATTTTCTCTAGCCATGTTGAGGTATAATTGACAAAATTCGTATATATTCAAGGCATATAATGTGATTTGATAAATGTGTACATTGTAAGTTGATTAACACAATCAAATTAACATGTCTTTAACCACACAGTTACCATTTTGTGTGTGTAGGGAAGACTCTTAAGATCTACTCTTTATTAACAATAGTCACTACTGCTGTATATTAGATCCCCAGAATTTACTCATGTTAAAACTGAAAGTTTGTGCCCTTTCACTAACATCTCCCCATCTCTTCTACTCTGCAGTCCCTGGAAACCACCTCTCTGTTTCTATGAGTTCTACTTTTTTAGATTCCACGTATAAATGAAATACAGTATTTGCTTTTCTGTGTCTGGCTTATTTCATATAGCATAAGGTCCTCCACATTCACTCATGTTGGTTGTTGCAGATGATAGGATTTTCATTTTTATGGCCTAATAAAATATTCCATTGTTGTATATATACCATATGCATGCATACATACATACATATATATATATATTTGTTGTTGTTTGTTGTTGGGTTTTTTTGGGGGTTTTTTTTGTTGTTGTTTTTTTTTGAAATGGAGTCTGGCTCTGTCGCCCAGGCTGGAGTGCAGTGGCGCAATCTCGGCTCACTGCAACCTCCGCCTTCCGTGTTCACGCCATTCTCCTGCCTCAGCCTCCCGAGTAGCTGGGACTACAGGCAGCTGCCACCACGCCCAGCTAATTTTTTGTATTTTTAGTAGAGATGGGGTTTCACCATGTTAGCCAGGACGGTCTTGATCTCCTGACCTCGTGATCCACCCGACTCGGCCTCCCAAATTGCTGGGATTACAGGCGTGAGCCACCGTGCCCGGCCTGTTTTTGGTTTTGTTTGTTTGTTTTTGAGGCAGGGTTTTGTTCTTGCCCAGGCTGGAGTACAGTGTCATGATCATGGCTCACTGCAGCCTCAACCTCCTGGGCTCAAGCAATTCTCTCTCTTCAGCTTCCTTAGTAGCTGGGACTACAGGCGTGCAACACCACACCTGGCTAATTTTTTATTTTTGTAGAGACAGGGTCTCGCTATGTTGCCTAGGCTGGTCTCAAACTCCTAGGCTCAAGCAATCGTTCTTCCTCGGCCTCCCAGAGTGCTTGGATTATAGGTGCACTGCACCTGGCCTACAATATTCTCTTTATTCATTCATCTTTTTTGTTTTTGGAGATGGAGTTTTGCTCTTGCTGCCCAGGCTGGAGTGCAATGGCATGATCTCAGCTCACCACAACCTCCCGGGTTCAAGCGATTCTCCTGCCTCAGCCTCCTGAGTAGCTGGGATTACAGGCATGTGCCACCATGCCCAGCTAATTTTGTATTTTTAGTAGAGATGGGGTTTCCCCATGTTGGTCAGGCTAGTCGAACTCTTGACCTCAGGTGATCCGCCCGCCTTGGCCTCCCAAAGTGCCGGGACTACAGGCGTGAGCCATCGGGCCCGGCTCATTCATCTTTTGACAGACTCTTAGGTGATTTTCATATCTGGGCTATTGTTGATTATGTTGCAGTGAACATAGGAGTGCAGATTTCAACATACTGATTTATTTTCCTTTGGTTTTCTTTTTGTTGTTGTTGGCTTTTTGTTTTTTATTGTTTTGTTTTGAGACAGAGTCTCACTCTGTTGTCCAGGCTGGAATGCGGGTGTGATCTCAGCTTGCTGCAACCATCGCCTCCTGGGTTCTGTTGATTCTCCTGCCTTAGCCTCCCAAGTAGCAGGGACTAGAGGCACATGCCACCACACCCAGCTAATTTTTGTATTTTTAGTAGAGACAGGGTTACAGGGTTGGCCGTGCTGGTCTCAAACTCCTGACCTCAAGTGATCCGCCTGCTTCAGCCTCCCAGAGTGCTGGAATTACAGGTGTGAGCCACCACGCCTGGCCCAATTTCCTTTCCTTTGTATATATATCGAGTAGTGGGATTGCTAGATCATATAATAACTCAGTTTTTAATTTTTTGAGGTGGCTGGGCACAGTGGTTCATGCCTGTAATCCCAGCATTTTTGGAGGCCCAGGTGGGCAGGTCCCCTGAGGTCAGGAGTCCGAGACCAGCCTGACCAACATGGCGAAACCCCTTTTCTCTACTAAAAATACAAAATTAGCCGGGCGTGGTGGTGCATGCCTGTAATCCCAACTACTTGGAAGGTTGAGGCAGGAGAATTGCTTGAACCTGGGAAGCGGAGGTTGCAGTGAGCCAAGATCGCACAATTGCACTCCAGCCTGGGCAACAAGAGTGAAACTCTGTCTCAAAAATAATAATAGTAATAATAATTTCTTGAGGAATGTCCACACTATTTTCTGTGATGGCTTTACTCATTTACATTCCCACCAACAGTGTACAGGGTTCCCTTTTCTTCATACCATTGCCTACTTGTTATCTCTTATCTTTTTGATAACAGCCATCCACACAGGTCTAAGGTGATATTTCATTATGGTTTGCGTGTGTGTTTGTGACAGAGTCTTGCTCTGTCACCCAGGCTGGAGTACAGTGGCATGATCTCAGCTCACTGCAACCTCTGCCTCCTGGGTTCAAGCGATTCTCATGCCTCAGCCTCCTGAATAGCTGGGATTACAGGCACATGCCACCACACCCGGCTAATTTTTGTATTTTTAGTAGAGACAGGGTTTTGCCATGTTGGTCAGACTGGTCTCAAACTCCTGGCCTCAAGTGATCTGCCCGTCTCAGCCTCCCAAAGTGTTAGGATGGCAGGCGTGAGCCACTGCACCCAGCCTCATTATGGTTTTGGTTTCTGTTGCTCTGATTAATGAGGTTGAGCACTTTTACTGATACCTGCTGGCCATCTGTATGTCTTCTTTGGAAAAATGTCGATTCCAGTCCTTTGCCCATTTTTTAAATGGATTATTTGGTATTTTGCTAATGATTTTCTTATATATTTTGGATATTAACCCCTTACCAATTGCATGTTTGGAAATATTTTCTCCTCTTCCATAGGTTGCCTTTTCATTTTGTTGATTGTTCCTTTGCTGTGTAGATTTTTTATTTAATATCCCACTTGATGATTTTTTATTTTGCTGCCTGTGCTTTCCAAAAAATCATCCAAGACCAGTGTGAAGGCGCTTTTTTCCCTGTGTTTTCTTCTAGGAGTTTTATGGTTCTGGTTTTACATTTAAGTCTTTAGTCTATTTCAAGTTAATTTTGTATAAGATAAGGGTTTAGTTTCGTTCTCTTGCATGTGGATATCCAGATTTTCCAGCACCATTTATTTAAGACACTAGCCTTTCCCTATTGTGTAGTCTTGGCCCCTTTTTAATGATTAGTTGCCCTTTGATCCGTTTTGAAATACTATTTGTTTAAAAAAAAAAAAAGTAGGTAGCAACTCCCCAATATTCTTATTTTACTCGCCTTGTCCTTTAACTTCCTCCTCAAGTCTTTGGACATTTTTGTTGTTGTTACTTGTTTGTTTGAAATAATATCAGCCTAAATTTGACATTCACACTGAGTATCAGTAAGGGTCATGGTTTTTAAACCTTGTGCTTTCTTATTTTTTTCAAACTAATTTCAGACTTAAATAGAAGTTACAAGAATAGTACAGGGAGTTTCATGTACCCTTCACCCAAATTCCTCAAGTGTTAACATTTTACCACATTTATAGGTTTTTTTCTGATACACTTGAGAGTAAGTTTCAGGTAGATGTCCCTTTACTTCTAAATATTTCAGTGTGTATTTTCTAAAAAACAGGGATATTCCCTTATAGAATCATAGTTTTATTATCAAAATCAGGAAATTTAATAATTATATGTCTCATCTAACTATAGATCTTATTAGTATTTCACTATTCTTCTAATCTCTTTAGAGCAAAATGGAAAAAAATGGTTTTTCTGTTCTGGTGCAGGATCCAGCGGAGGCTCACGTGCTGTATTGGATTATCACATCCTTAATGTTCTTTAATCTGAAATCGTTCCCAAGTCTTGTTATTCATGACCCTGACTGACATTTTTTAAGAGTAAAAACACTAGGGGGGATTTTTTGTTGTTTTTTGTTTCGTTTTGTTTTTTGTTTCGTTTTGTTTTTTGTCTTTTGTTTTTTTTTGAGCCAGGGTCTCACTCTGTCACCCAGGCTGGAGTGCAATGGTGCGATCTCAGTTCACTGGAACCTCCACCTCCCAGGCTCAAGTGATCCTCCCACCTCAGCCTCCCAAGGAGCTGGGACTACAGGCTACAGCCAACATGCCCAGCTAATTTTTGTATTTTTTGTAGAGACAGGATTTCGCCATGTTGCCCAGGCTGGTCTCAAACTCATCCAATCCGCCCACCTTCACCTTGACCTCCCAAAGTGGTGGGACTACAGGCGTGAGCCACTGCACCCGGCCAAAGACCCATTCTTTTATAAAATGTCCCTCCCTCAATTTGGATTTATCTGATGTTTTCTCATAATTCGATTTAGGTTCTGCATTTGGGGCAGGAATAGCAATGAAGTAATGATGTGTCCTCTGTGTATCATGCAAGGAGGTTTACAAAGTCTACTTGTGCCGTTACTTATGATGCTAATTTTAATCACATGGTTAAGGTGTCTGCAGCCTTATGCTTTCCCAGTTTCCCTGGTTTACTAACCATTCCATTAATGAATTTACAAAGTAAGCAAAATGTATATTTCCCAAGTCAGTTCCTGACTGTTTTCTCCTAAAATAAATCCTTGCGTGCTGTTGTCAACCTAAACTATGAAATGCTCTAAAATAAATCCTTGCGTGCTGTTGTCAACCTAAACTATGAAATGCTCTGGGATTCTGTCCTGTGCTGTTGGGGTGCATCAAGATGCCAAACCCACGAACCAAGTATTTTGTCAAATGAACTGAGTCTTCAGGGACATTGAGGCATGTCTGCATTTAGCTCAAAAGGTAGAAGTCTCACAAAACTGATACTAGCGAATATCATGTTACTGAAAATTCTTGGTTATTCAGGCGTTCCTAGCTATGTATAAGTGCTTCCTACCTACATACAACGTCTTTCTTCTATGCACATCATCTCAGGTACCAAATAGACAGTATTATTTAAAATCCCCCTTTGACATTTTATGCTCAGTTTTTCAGACCATGGAAATCTACACCTATGATGCTCTTCCAAGATCACTGGGCATTTTTTTGTAGTTTAGTAAGTGACTTATTTAATTTGCAATTCTCAATTATTTCATTTATATGTAAACTTTTTTACGAGACACAAGGTTCCACTCTGTCACCCAGGCAAATGGTACAATCCAATGGTACGATCATAGCTCACTGCAGTTGTGAACTCCTGGGCTCAAGAGATCATCCTCCTGTCTCAGCCTCCCAAGTAGCCAGGATTACAGACACACACCACCATGCCCAGCTATTTTTTTTTTTTTTTAAATACACAGGGTCTCACTATGTTCCCCAGGCTGATCTCAAACTCCTAGCCTCAAGCAACCCTCCCACTTCAGCCTCCCAAAGTGCTAGGATTGCAGGCATGAGCCACCATGCCCAACCATAAACATTTTCTTTCTTTCTTAAAAAGTTAGTTACTCATGCTTAGTGCTGTCTAGCGATACTTTGTTTTTGTTTGTTTGTTTGCTTTATTAACTAATCCCTCACAGACCTCAGGGGCTTCAGCTATTCCCAAAGAATTAGTTGTTAGTAATTGTTACTCTTTTTTTCACACATTATTTCAGACAGCAAATAAACATTGATTGTTAAGTCTCTAACCACTAACAAGCTAGCTTAGGTATCTCTCAATTCACCTACACTACAGTACCTGACATGCTAGCTTAACTGAAAAAAGTAGTATCAATCTGTAATCAGCTCTTTTCCCCCAAGATCCTACCCCAAAAAAAAAAAAAATTATCCTTACATCATCCTGTCTATGGGATTGTACCCAGTTTCCTTTTTTCTACATATGTTTATGGAGAAATCAGGAAAGTTAAGAAAATAATTTGTTTTAAAATAATAAAGCTAATATATGCTCAGATGGTAAAAGAACAAAAGAAAAGATCTCCAAGTCTTACTTTTTGATCCATTTTTAAGATAAAAATTTTATACTATATAAATAGGAAAATTAATGAAGTGAGCCTTTTTTCCTAAGTGAACAGTGTGTAAATGGTGATTCTTCCTGGATGAGTAACTTTTTCAAAGATACTAGCTTCTACTATTTCATCAATAATTGTAATGGCAAAAATAGACAATTAATGGAGATTTCTGATTTTGTTTCTATCATTACAGCTATTGTACAGGGGGATACGCTGGAAGACATTTACAACCAAGTGAAACAGATCATAGAAGAACAATCTGGTTCTTACATCTGGGTTCCGGCAAAAGAAAAGCTATGAAAACTCATGTTTCTCTGTTTCTCTTTTCCACAATTCCATTTTCTTTGGCATCTCTTTGCCCTTTCCTCTGGAGTCTTTCTTGAGTACTGATTTCATGTTGAATTGTATCCCACACATCATGGTCTGCAGCTTCTTTTTCACATGTAGTGTCTCCTTCAAGTTACATCGTGTGTATTATTTAATGTCACTATTGGTTAGTGGCCATTTTTCAGAACTGAAGATGGAATGGCCTGACCAGCTATTAAGAACGTGGGGAGACGCAGAAATTGTGGTAAAATTCCTTAATGTTTAAGGGAAAGTAACTTTAAGAGATTTTTGGAAAAGCTTTATATACATTCTTTTCAAATTTCAGTACAAATGAAAAAGTGGTTTTAATCAGTGATTTAGTAGACTTTGAGCAACTGTGCACGCTTCAGTTTAATAGCATGGTTTGGCCAGTGTATTACTCTCAAGTCCTTTTCTCAATCAACTTCTATCATCAAAGCAATTGTTTCATTATAGATAAATAAGGACATTTTTTAATTTAAAAATTCATGTCTGAGTTGACTTTCATAAGGGATTTCATTTTTTCCTCAACATTCTTAAAGCCTTTTAGTATTTGACGGTTCTTTTTTCCCAGGACATTTGCTAGGAATAACAACGTTTCAATGTTTTTAATCTACTTGAGCAACACTATCGTGTCTTACAAAAGTTGTTCATATGTAAATGATCATCACATTTCGTGAATTGAGGCCATGTTCAGGTGCTAAGGAAGTTCGCCTTTTACACAGAAGATTGAGAAAATTTCCTAGATATAAATACAGATAAATCAGACGTTACAGTGGTGACGTAGTAACCATCATGGCAATGGAAAGGAGTCCAATTCATAGCCTAAAACTTCAAATGTATTCTTAGGAGTCAGATTTTACTGAATATTTTACCCACAATAGCTGCCTATTTTGTTATAATAAAATATATATAAATATATATATAAAACTTTCTTTAAACTGTAACTATGGGAATTATTTTCTTTACATAGTTGCGCACACACACAAACATATATATATATTTAAAATATATTTTGTTTCTTTTGCCACCTACTCCTAACTTTTTGTTTGGTTTTTAAATTAAATATTAATTGAATAGACTTATCTTCCTTAATCATGTGAACTGAAAATGGGGGCATGGTGGTCATGAGGAGGAAACATTTAGGGAAATTAGATTATAAGTAAAAGTGTGGGCATATTCTCCTCTTTTCTACAAAGGTTTTCAAATGGTTCCTGAGGTTTTTTGTTGTTGTCCGTGTTGTTACTGTTGTTCTTGTCATCAGGTTTGATTTTGGTCCTTGCCCTTTCCTTCTAGTTCTCCTTTTATTAATAGGAAGGCAGGCAAAAGCCCCATTTATGTGTGTGTTTTCCCCTCAGACAGCTTTCATCCACTGCTCTGCACTAGAATTGCACAAATCTTCATGGTGAGCAATTTTAAGAAATGTTAGTGAAAGGTAGAAATTATTTCACAAATCAGTTTCTCTGGTCCTTCATATTAATAATAATATTTGGCTTCCCATTGCTCTTTGGAGTTGTTTATTAAATATGTGTTTTTGACAACCTCCTCATTAGTTTCTTAAATGAGTACTGGTTTGTAAAGAATTATCAACATTATCCATTCCATTTATGAAGAAGAGGAGAACAGCTAATAAACTGTATTGTAAAATCCATATGTTAAGTGTGTCTTGAATTTTGAAAGAAAAAATATATTTTGCAAGCTAACATTTTCTTGAAACAATTTGAGGCATCATGTAACTTATAACCGAATCCAAGAGCCGTTAGGCAGCAGAGTGTGTTACCACATTGAAATACACAGTGCTGCTGTTAGACTAAATGTCGTAGGTTGTTAACCACATAGAAACACACTAGTATGAAGAAAACTGTTGTAAAATCTCAAGAGCTTCAGAAACTGCCTTACAAGACCGCAGCATAAGCTATTTTGAAGTATTTACCAAATAGTCACATGTTGTAAAATATCAAGTGGTTATAAAAGGATGCCATTTATATATTAAAATTTACATAACATTGTTTTCTGGATGTCCTTGTTAAGTGATTTTTTTGTAAGAATATACGTGCAGCTTTCTAGATTGTATAGGATTATCAATAATGAGATTACTAATTGCTGAGTATTATGCAATAGCCACTTTAGTATCGTACTTCTTAATTAAAAAAAAAAGAGAGAGAGAGAAGGTGGTGTTACTAGCCCCACTGTAAGGTTTACATTAAATCACTTGCCCAAGATGACTTAGCTAATAAGAGGCAGTGCTTAGTGTTTGGATCCGAGCCTCTCTGCCCCAATCTACATTCTTTCCAATACACTTGGCTGCCTCATTTTTCACCCCCTACTGTGTAAAGAACTGTAACTTAAATTATTATTCTAGCAATGCTTTACAAATAAGGAAAGACTCTTAAATGAAAATCCTTGCCCAAAGTCATACAATTAGTAAGGACAGACCCACAAAACAAGCGACTCCCATCACAGCTGAAAAGACTATTTGTGGGAAACAAGTCAGCCTAGCCCTGCCACAGTGACGTGCCAAGGAAGAACCTTTCAGAACCAGAATAGCCTAGCCCTGCCAGTGACATGACAACCTTTTAGAACCGGAATTGAAACAATATTTATAAAAAAAAGAGTCCATTATTGTAATACCCAGAGAATAATACTGTTTCACGTTTTGTAAAGTCTATATTTTTTAATATGCCTCTTCATACCTTTTTAAGTTGGCAAAAAGAAAAATGCCTCTTAAATTTGGCTGTAGCTATCTGGTTGCTTTCCTGTTCTGTGACTACCTAGGACTCTTCAATAAATAATGGAAGCAAGCAAGCCAGGTGCGGTGGCTCATGCCTGTATTCCCAGCACTTTGGGAGGTCAAGGCATACGTATCACCTGAGGTTGGGAGTTCGAGACCAACCTGACGAACATGGAGAAACCCTGTCTCTACTAAAAATATAAAATTAGCCAGGTGTGGTGGCGCATGCCTGTAATCCCAGCTACTCGGGAGGCTAAGGCAGGAGAATTGCTTGAACCCAGGAGGCAGAGATTGCAGTGAGCCGAGATCACGCCATTGCACTCCAGCCTGGGCAACAAGCAAAACTCCATCTCAAAAAAATAAAAATAATAATAATAATAATAATAATGGAAGCAAGCCTGCAGAGCTCATTCCAGCAAAATACGCTCTGGTTAACAAATACTTGCTAAACACTATATAGTATTTAAACTCCAAAGATGGCAATTCAGGAATTTTAGTAATTAGTAAAATTTGTTTTCTAAGATATTAGAGCAGTTATCTTCTAAGATTCTCTGCCTTGAATACTCTTAATTTACATGCGATAAAATAGAAGCCTAAAGACCCCTATGGCTTTACAAAGTTACACTGCAAATTGGACAGAGCCAGGATTAGAACTTTTAACTCCTGACTCCTAGAAAATAGTTTTCCTACCATACAAATTCCTTTTCCTCCCATTCTAAGAGCTGGATTTTGTGGTTTATTCAATCCCTGAAGGTTTGAATTTCTGCTGTTATAAATATTGGTACATTTATTTATTATATTACAATGAAGAAGTTGCATTTTGAAAGATACCAGGGAAAAACATGGGTGTCACTTTCCCGACCGTAGTGTAGAGCATTTGGTAGTTAAGTCTAACGTTTAAGATTCCATTTATCTCCCTCCAGAATTGCACAGTATACCTCTCACTGACTTTGGCAGCAGTGCCCTCTGATGTGAAGAATGTGGGCTGTGGAATCAGCTTGATTTGAATGCCACTCTGCCACTTACGTAACTTTAGGCAAGTCACATAATCCCTCTTAACTGTTTACTTATCTGTAAAATGGAGACATATTGAGGATCAGTAAGATTCCAGATAAAGGGAACTAGCACATAGAACACTCTAAAAGCTAATTCCCTTCTCCTTTGGAATCAGAGGCTTAGAATTCTTCCAGCTTCTCTTGTGGAGATTAACCTGACCCTTAATTTTGCAAATGTTTTAAATGGGATTTGAATGACTACCTTGCAGGATTGTTGTAAGGGCTGAAGTGCTGTATACAAAACACAATCGGCCGGGCGCGGTGGCTCACGCCTCTAATCCCAGCACTTTGGGAGGCTGAGGCGGGCGGATCATGAGGTCAGGAGATCGAGACCATCCTGGCTAACACAGTGAAACCCCGTTTCTACTAAAAATATAAAAAATTAGCCGGGCATGTTGGCACGCGCCTGTAGTCCCAGCTACTCGGGAGGCTGAGGCAGGAGAACGGCGTGAACCTGGGAGACGGAGCTTGCAGTGAGCTGAGATCCCACCACTGCACTCCAGCCTGGACGACAGAGCGAGACTCTGTCCCCAAAAAAAAAAAAAAAAACCCACACACACACAATCGTATCATCTGATACTTGATACTTCTATTCTTCCCCTTATGAAGGGTTGTGTTTCAGAATATTATCTATCATTCTTCACCTATAGGGAAATTTCCTTTAACAGAATTTAAGTTATTTACATTTCAGTTTCTATAATCATGTTTGCTGTTCTCTTCAAAGGATCCCTATTTTTTGTCAAAGGTGCTGTGAGTTGTGGCCCACCCTTGCTCAGTCTCAATCATGGAACTGGAAAGCATCAAGGTTTCATAAGCCATTCTCATTTCTGTACGGTCCTAGACCCAACGGCTCCTAGCAGTTCTCCAGAACATTAGTTGTGGAGAGTCTCAAAACAGGCCTAAAATAATAGTGTGAAAAGTATTACTTAAATCGCCCAGATAAAATATTTTGTCTTTGACTAGGAATAGTCACTACTTAACTAACTTTCCACCACTGGCTCTTTCCCCACTTCACCCCAAATGGTTACCTAAGAGCTGGCAAAGCAATAAACCCTAGCGTCTACTAAACAGCATCATGAACAGAGATGGGGCTCAGGTGACTTTATTGAAGTATAACATCCATGTAAAATGCATAGATGTACATAGTGTACATATACCTTAATACTTCTTTACAGGTAAACAACATCTGTGTAACCATCATGAAGCTCAGTAAATAGAGCCTGACCGGCACCCCAGGTGAACTCAGCTTCCGCCTGGTCACTACTCCCACCCCAGGGGAAGCTGCTGTCTTCTATCTTTATAATTTGTCTACAGTAAAATTCGCTTTTTTGGTGTATCATCCTAGGTTTTGACACATGCAGAGAGTCGTGTAATCACCACCACAATCAAGACTGCGAAACAGTCCCACTGTCCCAAAGAAATTCTCTGATGCTTTTCCCTGTGTAATCCAGACCTCCTCTCAGCCCCAGTCTGTGACAACCGCCGATCTGTTCGCAGTGCCTGTAGTTTTGCCTTTCCCGGAATGTCGTATGGAGTGTAATGTAGCGTTTGGGGTGTGGCTTAGCAAAATGTATTGGGTAGGAATGCATGGTTTTCATTGCTGAGCAGTATTCCATTGTGTGGATGCACTCACCGCAGCCTATTCATTCACTGCTTGAAGGACTTTGGGGTTATTTTCATTTGTTCCCGTGATAGTTGTGTATTTCTTTGCCACCCTAGACCTACAGGAACAAGAGGCAGCAAGCAGAAAAGGGGTTCTGATGCTGAAAGCCATGATGGGCCCGGCCCCACCCCCACGCCCCCACTTCATCAGTGCCGTGAGCATCCACATGCTTAGCTGGTTGCACAGGAGCCTGTCATGAAACAAATTTTAAAGGCAGAGTGATGGATCCCAAGAGCCTGTTTACAGAAGAAATTTGTGTCGAAAGCAGGAATGACTGCAAGAATGAGCACTTCAGAATTTCAAGCCCTCAGGAAAAAACACTAATGATCCAGTAGCTAGGTGTACCAGTGACTGCTGCCTGACTCATTACTGATGTCCTAGGTGAAATAAATGTAGTCAGTCTAGGACAGCAGTGAATGAGAAGAAAATGAACTGCACACAGGCCATTGCTGAAGATGGGATTGTCTCATATCCTTATAATTTAGAAAACAGTCCATGGAGACAAAACCCTGATCTTTTAAGAAAATGGGGTTTGTTGGATTCCAGACAAAGGATTGTTTTTCCAAATTACTGTTTTCTTTAGGTGGTAGCCTCTACGCATTTTAAATATTACTTATGCAATTTATAGTAATCTAATTCTAGTGCAGTGTGCTTAAGGAATCCTTGATGAGGCCTGGTTCCACCGATGCTCACACTCAGCCTTTTCCTACGTGCAGGTGGCACGCGTGGCCTTGACAGTCTCCTCCATCTTAACCACAGTGCGATGGCTCACTTGTGTGTTAAAGAAATTGTAGGTCCCTCCTTTCAGCCGGCTCCAGAGTAATCCTTAGGAAATACTGGTGTTTACCGAAAGAAGAAATAAACTACTGGTATTGCGCATATATTTATCCTATTTCTGCCAGTCAACTGTTAACAACCAATTTCATCTGGACGGTTTATAACTACAGTAGAATGAATTTTTTTTTTTTTTTTTTTTTTTTTTTTTTTTTTTGACGAAGCCTCTCTGTCACCAGGCTGGAGTGCAATGGCGCGATCTCGGCTCACTGCAACCTCCGCCTCCTGGGTTCAAGCGATTCTTCTGCCTCAGCCTCCTGAGTAGCTGGGACTACAGGCGCCTGTCACCATGCCCGGCTAATTTTTGTATTTTTAGTAGAGACAGGGTTTCACCACATTGGCCAGGCTGGTCTCGAACTCCTGACCTGTGATCCGCCCACCTCGGCCTCCCAAAGTGCTGGCATTACAGGCATGAGCCACTGCGCCCAGTCGAATGAATTTCTTTATACACAAGTCAGTACAAAAAAACAATTAATATGAAATTTGCTAATGAATTAATGATATAATGAATTTTCTGATGGTGGAAAAGATTAGAAAGAGTGATGTAATCTATCTTCTTTAGGATGTCTAAAATTGGGTACATTTACCTCACAGATGGGACAGCTAAAGACAAGACGCAGTGTATGAAAGTCCCATATGTTCCACACTGCTGAGTCTCTACAAAAAGGTTTTCTAAATCGCGTGTCATCTGATCAAAAATATCTACTTCCCTAGTGGTATTTAAGACTAGAAAAGACATCTTTTAGATAGATCCCTTTCTCTGAAAGTTCAGTGCTTGGTTCAGATTTAGTTTATCTGACATACCCTTCCTAGGAAAAAGCTTTACTAAACTTTTAAACTACTTTTCTACTTGTAGCTAATCATGGTTATACTTTATATTCTCTCGGTCACCTCCCATCAGACACCAAATGCTATTAATTCTTCCTGAGCGTGATATTTTTTCTTGTGCTCATTTCCACTGTCATCACTCGAATCCAGGTTCTTACCCCACCCAGGCCTGGATTATTACAGTAGCCTCTTAAATCATCTCCCAGCCTCTAATCTGCTCCCTTGCTGATCCAGCTACCCACCCGCTAACTTTTCCTAAAGTGCAATTTTTATTTCCCTCTCTTCAGTGACCTTCATGTATCCTAAATCCAGATGAATTAATTCACCTGTAAAAGTGTAGTTCCTGGAATACAGTATGTCATCAGTAAGTCCTCTGCCAGCACTAACCTCCCTGGCCATACCTCTTATTTATACACCCTCTTCGGAGCTTGTCATAGCTGTTCGTCAATGCGGATGCCTCCTTTGCCAACACCACCTCCCAAGTGTTGTGTCCTCCCCACCCAAGTCCCCTTATCAAAGCTCTAGTTTCTTCAAAGCCGCCCTAAGTCCCTTCACCTGCAGAAACCTGGCCAGTTGCAGCCCTTGGTGCCTGAGTTCCTGCAGTCCTTGGGTGGCCACTTCACACTGAGAATGTGCTTCCTGTGCCGCCTTTACCGCTTGAGATGCCTCGTATTCAGTGGCATTTTATGCTGTGTTCCTTTCCCCAGCGAAGTACCAGGGCAGATGAGAGTACGCAGCTCTACTCCAGAACCTGCCGGCCGCTGTGGTGTGGTAAAGTCGTCACTGCTGTGGCTTTTAAGGGTCTGAAGACAGCCTTCTTTCAGGTGTCGGCAGTGGCTTCATCTGCAAATTGGTAGCGTTGCGGGGATAACAAGGTCTGACTAGAGGCCGGGCGCGGCGGCTCCGCCTGTGATCCCAGCACTTTAGGAGGCCGAGGCGGGCGGATCACCGGAGGTCAGGAGTTCAAGACCAGCCTGGCCAACACGGTGAAACCCCGTCTCTACTAAAAATACAAAAATTAGCCGAGTGCAGTGGCGTGCACCTGTAATCCCAGCTACTTGGGGGGCTGAGGCAGGAACCCGGGAGGCGGAGGGTGCAGTGAACAGAGATCGTGCCATTGCACTCCAGCCTGGGCGACATGAGTGAAGCTCCATCTCCAAAAAAAAAAGTCCGACTATAAATCTCTAAGCCAATTTCTTTGTTCAATTATAGTCTTTCTTTTCTGGTTCCTGTATAATAATCTCCCTTCTCGAACATGCTTTGTGATTTTATCTTCCTTGTGCATATATGTTTCCTTTATAAGCCAGCTGAAGCCCTCCTTGGAAGTAGCTGGGGTATAAATAATTTCTCTGAAAGTCTTTAGTGACAAAGCCAAATATAGTATTCTTGATTTTTACGTCTTCACTCTTTACCCCCTTTTATACTGGTTTCTTCTCAGATTAACTCTTATATTCAATGAAGTTGATGGAGATTTATTAATGGCTTTAAAACTATATCTCCAAAGTTCATCTTTGAGTCTTTATAATCCTCTTCTACATATTAAAGTCTGAACTGCAAGTAAGTTTTCAGGAAAAGAAAGCTTTTGTGGTTTGATAATAAACTGAGCTCAGCATTGAGAGACTGACATTTGATGGCAGGTCCAACTCAGTTGGAACCTTTCCCGTCCTCCTCCCGCCCATCCCCAGGGAAGAAGCTTTGTTTTCCTTTCTTCCTGCTCACTCTGCTTGTCTGGATCTGATTCTTCACATTCTGATCAAATCTCTCCTGTAAAAACTGACCCTCAACGCTGAACCCCCTGAAAACAGCCCCTCTCCCTTCTTAGCCAAGTATCTTGAGATACTCTGTTCACTCTTCCCTTCATTTATAATAGTATAATTATGTATTGAATCCTATTATATTCCGGACCTGATGCTAGACACTGGGATCGGTGGTAGACAAGACACCATCCCTGCCCTCATGGAGTTGAGTTTCCTGCCTGAGCCTCAGCCCTGGCCATGCCATTGAAACTGCTCACACAGCTCTTTGGGGCCACCATAGTCCCCAGATCCTGTGGCTCTTCTCATTCTTCCCTTCAGCAGCATCAGACACCAGTAATGATAGTTAATAACATCCTAAAACATAACAGTTCACACTTAGAAATCATCCTCTGTGTTTAAGGCCCTGTGATGAGCACAGAAATGATCAAACATAGACTCTGCCTTTGAAAATCCTGGACATAGAGTTTGGCACAGCCCAAATGGACAGGACTTCTCCTACATATGCTTCACAGAAAAAAATTCTTTCCTATAAAGAGGCAAAAAAAAAAAAAAAAAAAAAGCTTTTATTCCTAAAACTTCCTCAACATGTCTGCCATTGTTCTCAATATACAAATTCAGATTAAGCAGTCAGCAAGTGTAACACCCTTTGATATCACACTACTGCAGGTGCTAACGTCCCAACCAGTCGGCAAGAGCGTAACATCCTCTGACATCACACTACTGCAGGTGCTCACACAGTAACCAGTCAGCAACAGCATAACATCCTCTGACATCACACTACTGCAGGTGCTCACACCACAACCCGTCAGCAAGAGTGTAACATCCTCTGACATCACACTACTGCAGGTGCTCACACAGTAACCAGTCAGCAAGAGCGTAACATCCTCTGACATCACACTACTGCAGGTGCTCACAAAGTAACCAGTCAGCAAGAGTGTAACATCCTCTGACATCACACTACTGCAGGTGCTCACACAGTAACCAGTCAGCAAGAGTGTAACATCCTCTGACATCACACTACTGCAGGTGCTCACACCCCAACAAGTCAGCAAGAGGGTAACATCCTCTGACATCACACTACTGCAGATGCTGACACCCCAACCCGTCAGCAAGAGTGTAACATCCTCTGACATCACACTACAGCAGGTGCTCACACAGTAACCAGTCAGCAAGAGAGTAACATCCTCTGACATCACACTACTGCAGGTGCTCACACCCCAACCAGTCAGCAAGAGCGTAACATCCTCTGACATCACACTACTGCAGGTGCTCACATCCCATCCCGTCAGCAGGAGAGTAACATCCTCTGACATCACACCACTGCAGGTGCTCACACCCCAACCAGCCAGCAAGAGCGTAACATCCTCTGACATCACACTACTGCAGGTGCTCACACCCCAACCAGTCAGCAAGAGAGTAACATCCTCTGACATCACACTACTGCAGGTGCTCACACCCCAACCAGTCAGCAAGAGCGTAACATCCTCTGACATCACACTACTGCAGGTGCTCACATCCCATCCCGTCAGCAGGAGAGTAACATCCTCTGACATCACACCACTGCAGGTGCTCACACCCCAACCAGCCAGCAAGAGCGTAACATCCTCTGACATCACACTACTGCAGGTGCTCATGTCCCAACCAGTCAGCAAGAGTGTAACATCCTCTGACATCACACTACTGCAGGTACTCACCCCAACCAGTCAGCAAGAGTGTAACATCCTCTGACATCACACGACTGCAGGTGCTCACACCCAACCAGTCAGCAAGAGTGTAACATGCTCTGACATCACACTACTGCAGGTGCTCACACCACAACCAGTCAGCAAGAGTGTAAAATCTTCTGACATCACACGACTGCAGGTGCTCACACCCAACCAGTCAGCAAGAGTGTAACATCCTCTGACATCACACTACTGCAGGTGCTCACACAGTAACCAGTCAGCAAGAGAGTAACATCCTCTGACATCACACTACTGCAGATGCTCACACCCCAACCAGTTGGCAAGAGTGTAACATCCTCTGACATCACACTACTGCAGATGCTCACACCCCAACCAGTTGGCAAGAGTGTAACATCCTCTGACATCACACTACTGCAGGTGCTCACACCCAAACCAGTCAGCAAGAGAGTAACATCCTCTGACATCACACTACTGCAGGTGCTCACACGCCAACCCGTCAGCAAGAGTGTAACATCCTCTGACATCACACTACTGCAGGTGCTCACACCCAAACCAGTCAGCAAGAGTGTAACATCCTCTGACATCACACTACTGCAGGTGCTCACACCCCAACCAGTCAGCAAGAGTGTAACATCCTGTGACATCACACTACTGCAGGTGCTAACGTCCCAACCAGTCAGCAAGAGCGTAACATCCTGTGACATCACACTACTGCAGATGCTCACACCCCAACCCATCAGCAAGAGTGTAACATCCTCTGACATCACACTACTGCAGGTGCTCACACCCCAACAAGTCAGCAAGAGGGTAACATCCTCTGACATCACACTACTGCAGATGCTGACACCCCAACCCGTCAGCAAGAGTGTAACATCCTCTGACATCACACTACAGCAGGTGCTCACACAGTAACCAGTCAGCAAGAGTGTAACATCCTCTGACATCACACTACTGCAGGTGCTCACACCCCAACCAGTCAGCAAGAGTGTAAAATCTTCTGACATCACACGACTGCAGGTGCTCACACCCCAACCAGTCAGCAAGAGAGGTAACATCCTCTGACATCACACTACTGCAGGTGCTCACACCCCAACCAGTCAGCAAGAGTGTAAAATCTTCTGACATCACACTACTTCAGGTGCTCACACCCAACCCATCAGCAAGAGTGTAACATCCTCTGACATCACACTACTGCAGGTGCTCATGTCCCAACCAGTCAGCAAGAGTGTAACATCCTCTGACATCACACTACTGCAGGTGCTGACACCCCAACCAGTCAGCAAGAGTGTAAAATCTTCTGACATCACACGACTGCAGGTGCTCACACCCCAACCCATCAGCAAGAGTGTAACATCCTCTGACATCACACTACTTCAGGTGCTCACACCCCAACAAGTCAGCAAGAGGGTAACATCCTCTGACATCACACTACTGCAGGTGCTCACACCACAACCAGTCAGCAAGAGTGTAAAATCTTCTGACATCACACGACTGCAGGTGCTGACACCCCAACCAGTCAGCAAGAGCGTAACATCCTCTGACATCACACTACTGCAGGTGCTCACACCCAAACTTTCTCAGGGCACACCAGCCTTCCAAGGGTTCCCCAGAATAAAAACTATTTGGCTTGTTCTTAAAGACATTGCGGGCCATAGAAATAGACAGACAGAAATTATGATTTGTTGAAAAATATTTTTTCCTAAGTACAATATTTTACTTCGTTTTGGGTAAAGGATTTCACCCTTTGCTGGCTCATTAGCCACTACCTGCTGATGGACCTTCTCAGTCTCCTGTCAAAGGCCCCCACTTTCTGAGGCTGCCTGTAGTGTATTCCCTCCATGGGATGTACTGTTCCTCGATTCCCTGACAAGCAAGCTCAATGCTTCTGGGCACTCTGAATCCTTGGAGAGCCAGAGCTGTGTCTTTGGCAAGAGTGGAGAAGAGCTCTTTTTATTTCATATTATGGGGTAGGGTCAGGGAGACTCAGGCAGAGCTGCTTAGGCCCCAGAATCTGATCGAAGTGTCAGTGAAACCAGTTCCTTTAGTCTGTATGCTCTCCCTCTAATCTCAATATGAGTCTAGAATGGGGACCAAACTAACCTCAGCTTCTGCTCCTCCAGAAGGCTGTTTGTGGGTTAAACTACTGGCTTATTACTCTCTCATTACATCCCACCCATTTCTCTGGCACACCCAAGTATGTCCGGACCCCAGAAATGGCAGAATCCTGGCTCAAGCTGAGGCAGACTTCCCCATTCCACAAAGGTGATGCGCGTTCATGCCAACCCTGGGCCAACGGGCCCGATGTAGAATCCCTGAGAACCCAGAGGCAGCAAGTTCACTGATGAGTCACAGCTGAATGACACCCAAGAGATAAGGGAAGAACTTCATTGTGAAAGAGCCCAGCAAACCTCTTAGGTTATGGTTGTTCTCACTCCCTATCAGCGTCACGTGGAGTTTTGCCAAAGGAAGGACTTAGTCATCAAACAGATCCTGCCAGTCATCTGGTGGCTCCTGGAGTGTGCCAACTGAGCCTTTCTATCCTCGTGGTCAGGAGAACGAGGCTTGTTAAGGACTCTTCTATTTATTCCATCTTCTTAGGACAAGCCATCAGCCCCTCTAGCAAGGCTGCCTGCTAGTCCATTCGGCACCTTTGTGCAAACTAGGAAGAAGGGATCCATCTGGGGGGATGGAGAAACAGCTTCCACAGCACAAGTCCTCCAGAGCAGACAGGAGACGGAAAGTATGGCACGTCACGGCCATCATGACCTACCTTTTACATGTGGGGAACAAGCCCAGAGAGGGCGACGAACTCGCCCAGGGTCTGTAAGTCGCTGGTTTTTAAAAAGTAGAGCTCGAGTCTCCTGAAGCCCAGCCCATGTTCCTTCCCCTGATCCAGTGTGTGATAAGCAGTAGCTTCATGGCCCCATAGGAGGGAGGCCTTCCTTCCCCAGGGCGCAGAGCAAGCTCAAGGACAGACAAACTCAGAGGGATGTCTTCTCTCTCACTGTTGTACTTACCCATGTCAGAGAGAGACATCATTTCTGAGTCTCAGAGGGGCTGATGACATAAAGGTGAGGCCTAAATGGAGGCAGGTGACTAACAATGTCTTCAGTTCATTCCCCGCATCCCCAACCACATGGGGAGTGCCGCTTTTGCCCGCCTGCGACAGTGGTTCTCAACATTTGCTGTGCCCCGAAATAAAAACAGATTGTGGGCCCCGCCCCCAGAGCTGTCGATCCAGTGGGTCGGAGGTGGGGCCTGAGCACTTGCATTTCCAGCAAGTTCCAGGGTGATGCTCACGTTGCTGGCCTAGGGACCACACTGAGAACCACTGTCCTAGAAATACGGTCAACCCACCCTTTCCTCCCTCACCTTCTTCACTCTCTTCCTCCCCTTCTCCGCCTGTTTCTCCTTTTCCGCTTCCTCCAATTCCTCTCTGGTCCTCTTCTCACCTTCCAATCAGCTGGCTCTGCCACTGACTGGATGCCTGACTCGGGCAAGTCACCTCCCGTCTCTAGGCCCGAGGAGAGGCAGTCGGCTAGGCCGAGATGCCCCTGCCCGGCTCCCCCCTCGCCAGGGCGCTCGGCCTGGGCTCCCCCGTATCCCAGATCCTCTGTGCAGCTGTGGCCGAGATGCCCCTGCCCGGCTCCCCCCTCGCCAGGGCGCTCGGCCTGGGCTCCCCCGTATCCCAGATCCTCTGTGCAGCTGTGGCCGAGATGCCCCTGCCCGGCTCCCCCCTCGCCAGGGCGCTCGGCCTGGGCTCCCCCGTATCCCAGATCCTCTGTGCAGCTGTGGCCGAGATGCCCCTGCCCGGCTCCCCCCTCGCCAGGGCGCTCGGCCTGGGCTCCCCCGTATCCCAGATCCTCTGTGCAGCTGTGCTGGGAGGGAGCTGCTGCGTGAATGAGATCATCCTCCAGCTGCCCTCCAGCCCCGACTCTGGGATTCTGACCTCTCCTTCCTTCCACGTCTGAGCTTTTCTCTCTCCAGTTAGACACGGTATCTGGAGTCTTTCTAGGGCGCGAGGAGGGGAGGATACCCTGGAACGCGGGGTAGGAGGCTGAGGCGAGAGCCCCGAGCAGCGGCGCCCGGGCCCGAGCGGGAGGCCTCCAGCAGGGGGCGCGCCGGGGCCGCCCAGGGGCGGGGTCCGGGGTCGGCGGGAGGTGACCTGCGCCCCAGGGGCGTGGATTCCGCCCGGGAACTCGCGGCCGCACTTAAGGAGCTCGGGCCAGCGCGAGGGGGAGCAGGGAGGAAGCCCGGCTGCTGCGGACCTCCTCGGACCCGGACCCAGCCCCAGCCCGGCCCCAGCCAGCCCCGACGGCGCCATGCGGGGTCCGAGCGGGGCTCTGTGGCTGCTCCTGGCTCTGCGCACCGGTGAGGCCCCGCTGTGAGAGCCAAAGGCGGGCGGGGGTCCCGGGGCGCCGCGGCCCGGCTGAGCAGGTCCCGGGGCTGGAAATGTGCCTGAGCCTGCGGCTCCGGGGCAGTGAGACGGGGGAGGCAGGGGCTCGGGGTCGAGTGAGGACGGCGGAGGGAACTAGCACTGAAGCGCAGACGGGGAAGTCTGGAAGGCTTCTTGGAGGAGGCGGCCTCGAACACCCGAGGCTTCCGACGCTCCAAGGAGAAGCGCGGGCTGAGGCGTGGTGGGGAGGCCTCGGGGTGTGGAGAGGAGCTCCCGGAGGGCGGCCCCTCCCGACGGGCGCAGGAACTCAGGAAGACTTTGGGGGCTCGGAGCAGCTCTTTCTCCCGAGCCCCCGCGGGAGAAGATTCAGAGGGACTGACCGGCAGGCGCGGGAGTCCGCCCGGGGGTTTCTGGCACATGCAGGGATGGAGGTGGAGACGGAGGCCGGGTCCCCTCGCGTCGGCGCCCCGGGGAGTCAGGGCCCGGGATGGTGGGACGGGAGGCGGGACCTCGGGGAGCGGCTCGCGGGGATCGCGGGCGGCGACCGCCGAGGGGATGGAGTTCGTGGCACCGCTGTGGCCGCAGGCGACGCACTCATCAATGCAAACGATGAAGCCACCGCCACCCCCGCCCCGTCTGAACTTTGCAGTTTCCCGCCTGGGTGGTGGGGGGCTTGGAGCGCTGCGGAGGGGAGGGCAGTTCGACTTCCCAGGCCTCCGCCAGGAGTGGGGAGGGGAGGGCTGTGGCGGAAGCTTCAGTCTCGGCCCTTGGGCTGGTGGGGCTGCCACGGGAGGGTGACCTGGTTTCGGGCGGAGTCATGCGTTTCCCTCCCTCCTGCACAGGCCTCTGGCAGTGCTGGCTGGGGCAGGGTGAATGGCAGAGGAGCTCAGGCCTGAAAGTCATCGGCCCCAAGGGGCTCCAGCACCCCTTCCTCTGGGCCCCTAGCCTGGGAGCTCTCGGGGACTCTGACCCGGTCAGATCCTGAGGCATAAGCAGAAGTCCACTGAGGATGTGGGTGTCTCAGGCTCTCTACAAGGGGGTTTACTTTCAACACAGAAGGTGGGGTTTTTATCTGCTCTCTCAGAAGATGAAGCAGGCTCAGAGAGGCTTGAACCTACCCTGATGGGTCCTCAGCCTCCCCTCTGTGCCTGCCGTCTTCCCTTGGCAGGGCCTGGCACTGTGCCCACCGAGGGTGGCTTTGCAGCCAGCATCATCGCAGACACTCCCCGAGGGGACAGGGCTCCTGGAGGGCAGCCCACCCACAGCCCCCTCACCTCACTCTCCCGTCCCAGTTCATGAGGAAGGCCCAGGGACACTGCTGGGTGAGGGAACCTACACGAGCACCCTCTTCGGGAGGCCTGGAGAGGGGAAGAAGCTTCCACTTCCAGGGCCTGCCGAGACTCCCTAGCCAGTGCTCCCACCAGGTGGGGGTAGCTGAGAAGCGACCTGTAGACCCTCCCATTCCTCCATAAAGGGCCGGGTTCTGAGCCATTCCATTTGCCAGCAGCCGTGCTCCTGGTCAGAGAGGCCCTGAGCACAGGAATACCAGCCCTTCCCCTGTCTCTGCGCCTAGTGCCTCCCTGTGGGAGGGCAGGGCTGCCCTAGAGGACTGGCTGTCCAGGCGAATGGGCTCACACAGAACTGCTGGAGCCACCCTCCATGGTGGGCCGGGGCTGGGCAGGGCGGGGGAGCCGGGCCTCACGGTCCCCTGCCCGCAGTGCTCGGTGGCATGGAGGTGCGGTGGTGCGCCACCTCGGACCCAGAGCAGCACAAGTGCGGCAACATGAGCGAGGCCTTCCGGGAAGCGGGCATCCAGCCCTCCCTCCTCTGCGTCCGGGGCACCTCCGCCGACCACTGCGTCCAGCTCATCGCGGTGAGTCCTCTCCCTTCCACCCTGCCAGACAAGAGGGCTGTGACTCAGGAGGGAGCACACAACAGCCCCATTCACCAGGAAAGGAGCCGACCTCGCCCTGCCAGGCCCGGCCGATAGGATCTCCCGAGTCTCCCTGGCCACGAGGCCAGCTTGCCTCCCGCCGGGCCCAGGCCAGGAGGTGGGAGCCTCAGG